>NC_000004.12:114981987-115133502 GCF_000001405.40 Homo sapiens | reverse complement strand
ATAATTTAGTCCATTTATATTCAATGTTAATATTGATGTTTTACTCCTATTGTAATGTTAATTTTGTTCTTGTTGCTTTACAGTCTCAATTTTGTAATTGTTTTATAAGACCTGTCAGTTTTCTAATTTTGTATGTTTTTATGATGGTGAGTATTGACCCTTTGTTTCCATGTTTACAGCATTTTTTAGCGTTTCTCATCTGTCTTGTATAGAGGTGACAAATTTCCTTAGTGTTTGCTTGTCTTGTTTCTCCTTCATTTATGAAGCTTAGTTTTAGCAGGATACAAAATTCATGGCTGACAGGTATTTTATTTATTTACTTATTTTTTTTTTTTTTACTTTTTCTTTAAGAGGTCTCAAAATTGGCCTTCAATATCTTCTGGCTTATAAGGTTTCTGCTGAGAAACACACTGTTAGTCTGATGGGATTTTCTTTATAGATGATTAGATGCCCCTCTCTTACTAATTTTAGGATTTTTAAATTCATGTTGACTTCACATACTTGCATTAGTCCATTTTCACACTGCTGATAAAGACATTCCTGAGACTGGGCAATTTACAGAAGAAAGAGGTTTTGGACTTACAGTTCCACATGGCTGAGGAGGTCTCACAATCATGGTGGAAGGCAAGGAGGAGCAAGTCACATCTCACGTGGATGGTGGAAGGCAAAGAGAGGGCTTATTCAGGGAAATTCCCCGTTATAAAACCATCAGATCTCATGAGACTTATTCACCATCACAAGAACAACATGGGAAAGACCTGCTCCCATGATTCAATTACTTCCCACTGAGTCCTTCTCACAACACATGGGAATTCAAGATGAGATTTGTGTGGCGACACAGCCAAACCATATCAATACTCTAATGACTATATGAATTGGTGAAATTCATCTTGCAATGTAGCTTCTTGAAGTTCTTTGACCTTCTATATCTAGAGGTCTAAATCTCTCACAAGACTAGGGAAGTTTTCTTTAATTATTTCATCAAATAAATTTTACATACTTTTATTTTTTCCTTTTCTCTTTCAGGAATACCTACAATTTATAGGTTTAAACATTTTACATAATCCCATATTTCTCAAAAACTTTATTTTTTAAAATCCACTTACTTTATTTTTGGCAGACTGGGTTAATAAAAATGACCTGCCTTTAAGGTCTGAAATTCTTTCTTCTTCTTGGACTAGTCTAATGTTAAAGTCTTCAACCGTATTTTGTAACTCCCTCAATGAATATTTTATTAACAGAAGTTCTGGATTTTTAAAATTAATATTTATCTCTTTAGGAAATCTTTCACTCATATCTTAAGTTATCCTTATGATTTATTTGTATTGGTTTTCACCTTTCTGTTGGAGCTCATTGAGCTTCTTTAAAATCAATGATTTCAATTCTTTATCAGGAATGTCAAAGATTTCATTTTGGTTAGGATCCTTGCTGGAGTTAATGTGATCCTTTGGGGATGTTGTAACACTGTTTTTTCATATTACCAGAATTCTTTTTCTGGTTTCTTCCCATCTGAATAAAATATCTTTTCCTTTTTTCTTGAATTTACTTTCATTTGGATGGGATTTCTTTTCCCCTTGAGGATGTGAATATAATACAAGTTGTATATGGTCATTTGGTTCTAGTTCTGAGTGCTTTTAGTGCCAAAAAACTCTGTAGGAGTTACTTAGTTATAGATTTTTGTGGTAGCTTCCTCAAATGCTGGTTATACTAGTGATGTATTAGGCATATGAGCAGGTTCCCTGCCTCCTGTGGTGCTGGGACAGTGGAGGTCTCAGGAAGCTTATCTTATTCCCCTGTGCTGTACACTCGTGTCGGCAAGTTTTGCATTGGGTATGTAGTTCAACCTCCAGGCCAGATGCTTATGGGTAAAAGTTGGCTGTGGAAGAGACCAATGGGTATAAGCTTCTTTTTCTTTACCAAAAGATGCTCTCTGTGGCCTCAAGGAATGGGTTGGTTTGTGGAATACCCAGTGCCCTCAGATCCATGCTCAGCCCCTGAGGAGGGGACAAAGCTGGATGGAGCTGGTCCACCAATCTCACCCTTGTATCCCTCAGTGGTGAAAAAATGCACCAGCCCTGATGGGGGTTGTAGGGAAGGTGCTGATGAAATGCACTGAGGGTTTTGCAGGTGGTGAGGGAGCTGGCCAAGCTCCATGGCCTGGGCAGGCAGGAGTCCACTTCAGTGGAACATTCTCCTTCAGCCCCAAACACAGATCTGAGGCTTTCCTACTCTCTACTGGAGCAATGCTACCACTCTGTGTAGAGTAGGGATAGGATCTGCATTTCATGCAAACCCAAGCCTGTTGTACACACTGCCAATGGGGGCACTGCCACCCCTAATAGTCCTAGAATGGCCATCCACTTGTACACCTATGCCAGTCTCCTATTGGATCACCCACAGCTGTGTCTGTAGCAGTGAGCAAGAAAGAAAAGTTTCTCTCTCCATGTGTGTGTCTAAGTATGTAGGATGCCTGGAGCAAAGCACAATGTCTGCATCTCTAGTGGAAGAGGTGTAGTCCTTCTCAGCCCACATGCTGGAAGTTCTCAGGTACAGCAAAATACATGCTTTGGTTTCCTTTGTCTCAAGGGATGCTCTTGTCTCTTGATGTTCTGTACTTTCCCTTCCCTTTGCAGCAGCACGCCCTGAGGGCTAGACCACTGGAACTCCTGCAGCTCCCCTGGGTCCAGCCAGCTCTGTGTGGCTGCCACAATCTGAATGGGTACTGGAGAATGTCTGTGGGGGCATTCAGTGATGTGGAGACACAAAGGCTACAGTTCCAGCAGGGCAGAGTCTCACAATTGATATATACCCAGCATAGTAGCTTGCTACTATAGCTCAGGTTTGGAGAAAGGGCGAGTGGCCCTGTGCAAGCTGGTAGTGTAGCATAATGCCCTCAAGAAGTACCCAAATCATTGCTCAACCAAGTGCTTGGGATTGTGAGGGCAGGGGAGCTCTCTGATAGTTTGGAAACAGCAGTCTGCCCCTGGGATGAGGGGAACCAAAAACACTCCCATCTAACCTTTTGACAACATACCAAGTCCCTCTGGGTTCGATCTCTGCTAGCCTCTTGCTTCCTTCTTTTTCTGTCCCCTAGTTCTTTCTGTGACTTCTCTGATAGTTTTTTGCTTACCTGGTCAGGAGGAGCACAATTTTAACAGAGTCATAGTCTTCTCTCAAATGAGAGGTTAAAGGTTGTATATTCATGAGACTTTTGCAGTCTTTCAATGTGGGGATTGAAGAGGGCATTATTGGCACTGGGTAGGGATTATGATGGAATAGTTTAGGATTGTTGGAAACATCAGAGTGAGGGCTTTTAGACAAACATTTTAAAGAATCATGAAGAGTAAGAAGTTAATTGAAATTACCTGTTGAGAAGATGACAACTTTGTTATTCATTAAATAGATCTTTGAGAAGTCCCTGAATAGATAGTAAAGTCATTTGCAACTTTTATTCTTACTGGGCAGAAGTTTCCTGGAGTAGTAAAGTAATATTGCTGTATTGTGGACAGTAAACTGCATGTTAAATGTTTTATTTCCTCAGGAAATATGTTCAAAGATGCTAAGATCCAAGGTCTAGTTGTTTGCAGATTCAGACCTAGGAATTCAAGTCTTCTGAATCACTAGATTGGGATTCTACTTTATCACAACATATTAATATTCCCAATTCTATTATTTATACCAACAAGGATGGAATAAGGTCTAACCTCAAGTTTAATTGACTTAATACGGCATATGAACATGGAGATAGGTTAATTCTAATGGAAAATAATTCTGTTATGAGAATGATGGCAGATAAGGCCAGATTGCCTAAATATCTATATTTGGGAAAACAATAGATATCCCCTTGCAGCAAAATATAAAACACTCCCAAATTTTCACTGAGAGCATTCACGAAGAGTCATTTCCTATGCATCAACAATATACCCTAATTTAATTATTACACATTGTATGCTTGTATCAAAATATCCTGTTTCCCATAAATATGTACAACTATTACGTATCCATAAACATTTTTTAAAACCTAAAATAATATATAATTTAAAATGATGGGTTACAAAATTCCAATATGAGATATAAAGGCATACAATGAAATAAAAAGACCCTGAATTTCTTCCTACAATTCAAGATATTCCAAAGTGCAATATACAATTAAAAAACTAAATTGTCTACATATCTTGAAATCATATAATTTGATTTACTCAGTACTTACTTTGCCTTTATACAACTTAATTTCAATGCTTTTTGTTTGCAAATTTTGATGTTAACAATGATGTCAGTAAACCTTGAAAATGAAAAATTTTTAGCACTCCCTTCATCAAATGCTTGTTTCAAGTTTTTTTAATGCATTAGAAAAGACATAAATGGTGCGTGCCTGTAATCCCAGCTACTTAGGAGGCTGAGGACAGGAGAATCGCTTGAACCAGGGAGTAGGAGGTTGCAGTGAGCAGAGACTGAACCACTACCCTCCATCCTGGCAACAGAGTGAGACTCCATCTCAAAATAATAATGAATAAATAAATAAATAAAATACCACTCTTACTAGAGTAAGATAATATCCATTGTCATTTTAATTTGCATTTTTCTGGTGATTAGTGATGTTCATCTTTTTTTCCCAAGTTTCTTGACCATTTGTATAGCTTCTTTTGAAAAATGTCTATTTCTGTGTTTTGCCCACTTTTTTAATGCTTGTTATTGTTGTTGTTGCTGTTGTTGAGTTATCTGGGTTCCATGTAAATTCTGGATATGAATCCTCTGTTGGATGCATGGTTTGTAAATATTTTTCCCATTCTGCAGCTTCTCTGTTTATTCTGTTGATTATTTCTTTTGCTGTGCATAAGCTTCTCAGAATGGCTATTATTATGATAAGATATGACAGAAAATAACAGATTTTGGCAAGGATGTGGAGAAAAGGGAGTGCTTATATACTCTTGTTGGAAATGTAAATTAGTACAACCTCTATGAAAAATATTATGGAGATTTCTCAAAGAACTAAAAATAGAACTACCATGTCTTTTAGCAATCTCACTAATTAGTATCTACCCAGAGGAAAATAAATGACTATATCAAAAAGATACATGCACTCATGTTTATTTCAGTACTCTTCACAATAGTAAAGATATGAAATAAACCTGCGTCCCTCAAAGGATGATTAGATATAGAAAATGTGATATACATACACAATGGAATGCCACTTAACCATAAAATGAATGACATCATGCCTTTTGCAGCCACATGGATGGAAGTGGAGGCCATTATCTTAAAGAAAACAACTCAGAAATGATAAGAGGAACACTGTATGTTCTCAGTTATAACTGGGAGCTACATAATGTGTACACATGAATATAGAGTGTGAAATGATAGACAATGGTGACTCAGAAGGGTTAGGGGGCGGGAGAAAGGTGGATGATGAGGTATTACTTAGTGGATACAATGTAAATTATTTGAGTGATGGTGATGCTGAAAGTCCAGACATCAAATTAAGCAATTCTACTTACAGTCTTTAAATTTATACATATTTTTTAAAAAAGAAAAATAAATACCTTTATAGGACACTTAGGTTGATTTACAAAATAGTTCTTCAGAAGATGAAATACCTCTAAAATCTGATTGATCACAGCAAAGAAAGCACATCCTGCTAGGCTAAATATATATTCAACACACACACACACATATTATATATGTATGCATATACATATATTCAACAATATGTATGTATATACATATTTTCAACATTAGCTATCAGCTTCTTTACAAAAACATTGTAGTTCAAAACTCTAGCTGTGTATATATACAAATATTTGAAAATTATTAAAGGCACACCTTATCTTGCATTAGAAAAATATTAGATTGTTTGAAATCAATTATGAATTATTTATGCACTACAATTTCAATACATTCCAATTCCACTTTATAACTTATTTAGTAAAAATGTTGCTCTTATGATTATCTGCTTTACCAAAACTTGCACTTTTAATTACAAAACCATTCCTTTTATCTTTAATAGTGAGTTTTAATTGAGTTTATGATAACATGTACAATGATGCTAAAAGTCAGATTAAATTCCAGTAGCTTTTCTTTGATTCCAAGAACTAGAGAAAAAATTTTCAAACCATTATTAAATTTTTATAAAATTTAAAATTTATATTTTACATTTCAGAATGTGCTATTTTCAAATTATTTTTATCTTCTTGTGCTACTTTTATTCTAAAGGCTCAATACTTACATTTCATTTTTCATACATACAGAAAAAAATCTTAGAATTCAAAAGAATAAAAGTTGGCTTAGAAGAAGTCATATGATTTAATTGAAAACACATACTTCACAAAATGATATGTAAGTGCCCTTCTGGAGCTCTGTATGATAAATCATTGTGAGCACATTTGAATTAAACTAGCTGTAACATTTTAACTAGTTCCTAGAACTTGTTTAGCAGACTTGCAGTGGTTGTCTTCATAAGAAGTAATATCACATAGCCTTTAGTGATTCTATCAACATTTTTTGAAAAGGGAAATAAAATACTTTTTTAAATTAAACATGGACTTTTAAAAATCGGATTGCTGCAAAGTACTATTGCAACATAAAAAGTATTTTCAAATAGTAACATAAATAGCAGCTAATTATATCATTGAATTATACTGCAAACTACAGAAGAAAAAATATTTGAACTTCTTTCTATAAACTCTCTTTAAACTCTATGGTACAGCTCCTTATTATTTATTACCCACACAGATTTCACATTCACAAAAATAGAACTTTTACCTCCCGCTGATCCCACTGACGCATTCTGGTGGCTTCATGCATCTGGCAGCCTTCAGCACCACCATGGCCCCCCTCTCAGCATGAGGTATGTCCTTGACTACAAGTATCCAAGTACTTTCCTTATATCAACAACTATCCTGAATGCTGAGGTGGAAAGACAGGTGGGAGTTCAGACTGAAAAAAATCTAACAAAAGGAAAAAAAGAGATGTGTAATTAGTAATCTTCCATAGTTAACTACATGTTAAAGTGAGAACTCTGTGCTTTGCATGTGTTTCTAATACAATACAAGAAGAGAATATGGCAAAGGCAGGCAGTAGCAAGTGAGAGTCTACCAACCCCATCCTGGCATATGCAACCATTAACAACTATATTTAGTTCAAAGAAAATAAAAAATTCAGGAAAAGGCTAAGCCTGAACAGCAGGAATTAGCTATAACTGCCCATGTCAAACCAGGTTGTATAGGTAACTTTATGTACTGGTTTCTTTTATGATTAGATAAATCCTAACATTTGATTCTGTCATTTATTTCAATTTGCTATTGATTTGTTCAATTTATTGATTATCATCTGGCAGAGATTTTCCTTCCTTTTTAATAAATTGCCTCTAAATGTATCTTAGTAATAATTTAATGTTTTACTGTACTTTCCACTGTGGCATTGTTCTCTGTTTCATAATTCAGACATTCTAAACTATAAGGATTAGATGATTTAATAGTGCTTTGAAAAGTAGGGAGTGAAAGAACCGAACAGTACTGAAATTTACCGGTATTGGGTACTGCGTATCTTCCCATTTGTGTGGTCTGAGGTTAAAATTGTGGGCTTAGAAGCTGGACCAATCAAGTTCATATGCCAGCCAACCACCCTGGGCAAACTAGATACTTAACCCCTCTGTAATTCAATATCTTCATTTGTATTGTATGAGGTAGGTTTTTTAATGAGGCGTAAGAGCGTTAATTTTTTTTTTTTTTTTTTTTTTTTTTTTTTTTTTTTTTTGAGACGGAGTCTTGCTCTGTCGCCCAAGCTGGAGTACAGTGGCGCCATCTTGGCTTACTGCAACCTCTGCTTCCCGGGTTCAAGCAATTCTCCTGCCTCAGCCTCCCGAGTAGCTGGGACTACAGGTGCCTGCCACCACTCCCAGCTATTTTTTTTTTTTTTTTTGTATTTTTAGTAGAGACGAGGTTTCACCCTGTTAGCTAGGATGGTCTCGATCTCCTGACATCGTGATCCACCCACCTCAGCCTCCCAAAGTGCTGGGATTACAGGCGTGAGCCACCGCACCTGGCCAAGGGCATTAATTTTAATAAAATAAAACGGCTTAGAAGATACCAGGCTAACTCAAAGTTTGCTATAATCATTAACATAAGGCTGTGGCTTCATTTCTTCTCTATTCTCATTTTGCTCCTCCTCTTCCATTTCTCTTTCTGTTATTCTTAACTCTTAACAAATTATAGACTATAAATGCATACAGACACATAGTTTACACAATCTAATAAGGTTCACACGATACCTATCCCAATTTGGTCTTAAATGTATTATCATGAAGGGAACTCAAACCATTTAGCACATTGCCTCACCCCTATAAAGGTTTGAAAAATAGTACTTGCTATTATTATTGGCATTTCTGTTACTTGATGACATTAGTTGTGAAACTATTATTGTTGTGGTCATTATTACTACTTGCTAGTATTATTTGAGGATTATTATTCTCATTTCTCAGTACTTAAAAGATAAGTGATTTGATGTACACAGTTGTCCTTTAGTATCCATTGAATATTGGCTCCAAAACCTCCTGTGGATGCCAAAATATACAGAATGCTCAAGTCCTTGATATAAAATGGGATAGTATTTGCATATAACATACGTACATCCTCCAGTATACTTTGTTATCTCTAGATTACTTATAACAACTCATACAATGTAAGCACTATGTAAATAATTGTTACACTGTACTGTTTAAGGAATAATTACAAGAAAAATGTCAGTACGTGTTCAGTGCAGCACAACCACACAACCAGTCTCTTTTAAAAAGTATTTTGGATCTGTGGTTGGTTGAATCCATGGGTCAGGAATCCAAAGATATGGAGGGCCAACTCTACTAGCCATTTGTCTACGTATTTCCTACATAGAAGTATTAATATGTCTTAATTTTAATAGAAAATGGACACAGCAAACCAATAACTGTATTTTTGAAATTAGAAATCAAAGTATTTTTTCTTTGTTTTACATTTTTGTCTTGGCAAAGTGAAATGATTCTGTAAGTGTGAATCAATGAAATATTAATTTGTCCTCATTTCAAGCAGACTAACATCAACTTAAAAACTTAGGTTGAGTGTCTTTAGCTAATATATTTTATTATAGTTAAATCTACTTAGCTTACAGTTGCTGCTTTACAGTAAAATTGATGGTACTCCAATAATTCATTCATAAATAACGTCAGTCAAAAATGTCTTCCTCCATAAATTTAGGATCATTTAGTACCAAAAATTCACTTACTTTAAAAAGGTATGACTTTTACTTTATATCTTGGCTGAAAGTAAAAAAGAAACAAACAAACATTGCTGTGGAGTTATGAGTGCCATTTCTGCTTTGAACTCCATATTTACTTTAACAATAAAATAGCAAATTGTTTAAGAATCAAAGAATATGTTTGCTCCAAGGAAATAGGCAGACCTAAACAGGGTAAAAAAAAAGGTTGAAATTTACTCACATTTTAAAGAGTATTTTAAAAAATTTACTATAGATAGAAACATTTTTAAATCATATAACAATTTCTACTGATAAGGAAACATGATCATTATTTTTTCTTGCTTCAATTCATATAGCTATATATTAGGTAGAATAAGATATTTTACAACAACTTTAGCTGGAGAGAAAACAACTTTATGTCAATTAAGTAATTCTGTGTAACAAGCTATCCAAAATTTATGTCTTAAATATACATTTTTGTCTTTAAAATTTTTAAGACATGCATTTCTAAGTTTTTATCTGAAAACCCATAAATCCAAACAATTGTACTACCAAAATGAATTAATATTGTTTGCTGTTACTGATATAAAGAGGTGAACATTAATATATAACTCAAAGCTCCATTTATTTTTATGTTCATTGCATTAATATAATTTGCTTCTGTCTCTATTCTCCTTGCAGCTCATGGATCAGCAGGTCTGTTTGGTTCAGCTGATCTGGTTGTCTTTTGCTGGTATTGACTAGGCTTGCTCATGCACATA
This sequence comes from Homo sapiens, assembly GCF_000001405.40. Lineage (NCBI taxonomy): Eukaryota > Metazoa > Chordata > Mammalia > Primates > Hominidae > Homo > Homo sapiens. The sequence continues at coordinate 115,123,516 of NC_000004.12, read as the reverse complement.
TAGGTGATTTATGGGCTCTGCCCTAAGCTAGTCTTGGCAAGAATACCTAAGCTGGGCAGTGTTGGTCCATGTGCCCTGGCATGTCCTTCTCACAGTGATGATGGAATTACAAGAAAGCAAACCTGAAATTAGCATAATGTCCCTTCCCCTTCATTCTACTGTCACAGCGATTCATGTACCACCACCAAAAGAAAAGGGGTGGGGAAATATGGTAACCTTCTTATTGAGAGGAACTACAAAGTCACATGACAAAAGGCTGAAGAATTAGACAAATCATGCATTCTGCTACATTTTTTCTTCTTTCTTCTATATTTTGAAGCAATGATTATTTTCCTCAAATTATAGCTACACATTTCACAAAAGAAAATAACCTTTTAAAATTTTCGAATTAGGTCAGAACTTCTCACTCTACAAACGGTACACAACTAAATGAGCTTAATAGTAGCACCCTAAAATTCTTCCAGACTTGTAAGGCAGCAGTAAGATAGCATTAAGGTAGTGATAACATTTCTATGATTTTTTTCACAGTAATCATGAAAAAATACTGAGTGCTACACTGCACAGTTTTATGAAAACTCATTTTTCCTGTTTAATTGGAAATTTGGAATTTTTAAGTGTTTATCTATAAATTTATAATTGTAAATAATTAAAGTCCTAAAAGGAATTAACGTATTAGTTATTCTGGTGTTGTCTACATGAAGAGAGGCCAGTGCTATTATTGTATACCTCAAAGCTCCATTTAATTCCATGTTTGTATGACAACCTGGTCTGCCTCTTTGCCTCTATATTCCCAAAGAATAGCATTCTCTATTGACAGTCACTTTGTGAAATAATAATGGTGTTCTGCTTAGATTATTAAAATAGCTAAATGAAAAATTAGGGAAAAGTTCCAATTATTATACCATGGAAATGACTTGATCTTTTTTTATATTCAGTACTGTATAAATACATAATGAATCTAGATTCATTTTTTAAAATTCAGTTCATGACTCTTTATATGCATTTACATTAGTAGATTTAGGTCAGCATTTCAAAATGTTTATAGAATGGAATGGAATGGAACAAAAAAGAAAATCAAATGCACTGCACACAGTCAACTAAGAAGTAAGAATTGTTTTCTGAAATTCTTGTTTAGTGTCTCTGTGTTGTGGGTCACAAAAATTTCACAACCAGTGATCTAGATTGTGATATCTTAGCACCGGTCTGAGAAATTCTCTGATCCACCTCTTTCTTCAAACCAGAAAAAGAAATTGTATAATTTAAATAAAAATGAACAGAAAATAAAATCTCACAAGTTTCCCTCATTTTAATTCTCCCCTTAGCATATGCCAATGACTATGAACTATGATTCCCTGTGCTGCCTAGTATTTCTAAAGCCTAATTAAATCTTTCCTTCTCTACTATTCTTTAGAACAGATCTTGGTATAGATAAGCATTTGTATAAAACATATTCATGGAGAAGATATCAGAATTTCAATGCTACCAAATTATTGGTAACTTGCCATATAGAAAGGTTAAAAGCATAACTCTTGTTTTATCTATATATTACCAAGTGGATTATAAAGCACAGGGTTTTGAATGGCCACCTGAAAGGCCACTCTGCTTACAGAGTAATGAAAAGGGGCATTCTCCAGGGACGTTCATTCAGACGACTGTTTGGTATAGTGGAAAGACCACAGGGCTAAGGATTAGTGAGTCCTGTTGCTGATCCCAGGTTTGCTACTTGTGTCTCAGTGTTCTAACCTATACAATGCAGATATAATACCACAATAACTAATAATAGGATCATTGTGACCCTCAAATCAAATAATCTATGAGAACATCTTTTGAAAACTCTGAAGATTTTAAAAATGAGTTGAAGATTACATAATGTTAGTATTGAATGTATTATGAAAGCAAGTAAATTGGAACAAACCTCTACTATCAACTGTGACTCAGAGTATCAGGTTCAACAAATAGCCTTTTTCCCTTAATCATCCTAACAGTGGTCATGAAGGGTCAGGCCAAATAGTGCTTTATGCTGGAGGAATAACTCCTTTCAAAGTAATCTGGAAATTTGAGATAGGGATTTCAAGAAACCAGATTGTTCTAAATGTACCTCTTGTTTAACTGCAAACACACACAAGAATTGCTTGATTACCATAGTTACTTTGGCAGATTAAAGAATATTAATTATTTAGACTTGAGAAGTTGTACTTGACAAGTAATTAACGTTATTTTAAAGATTCACATAATTTAATTTGAACTAAACAGTTTACTCTAGTTTGATTTAATATTCAGGTACAAATTGGATGTCCTAAATAAAAGGACTAGATTTATATTTCTTATGACTAAATCTGGCTTATAGTCGTATTAATTTTCATTTATTTACATTAGCCTTAAAATAATTTTTATAGGATATAATCATAATGATCTTGTATAGGACATCTCATAACGAGGGAACTGAGGAGACTCATCTCTCTGAAGGTAGAATTGCATCTGTGGCATAGCAGACAGGTAGAATGTTATAGTATGCTTCATAATTCCATGTATTCCATATCACTATGTGTATTAAAATCTGTAGATAATTGAATGTTTAAGATAATAGTATGTTTTAATGATACTACAGAATGCACAATGTCTTTTCTTTCAGTATATGCTAAATGCAAATTAGCAGTTATTACAAAGGTCATTCAAGAGCAAATGTTTCAAGTTCTAATATACTTAACATCTTTGAGAGGAAGGGTTTTACAGTGAAGCAATCTATTTTTGAGTTACAAGAGGGGAAGGTAAAGGAGTATATTTAAATAAGGAAGGTAGATGAGTGCAAGATGATTTTATAATAGAAATAAATTTGAGAGATATAGCTAAGTATAATTTTGCATTCTCCATGGCCCAGCCCTATTCTATGGTTAGATCCTTAGAGTTATATTTGAATCATTGATAAGACTTCGATTTTACAAAATTTGCCGCACTTTATATGTTACCTGTAGTTTACCTTTACTTTCCAGGCACTGAAGAAGGCACTACCTTATTAATATTTCAAATAAACTAAATGGTATTGTGTATATATATGTACATGTGTGTATTATAGATGTAAGTTATATAGGAGAATTCAATCTGCTATCTGAGATCTGAGATGCAGTGATTAAATCAAATTAAAGGTGAAACTGGAGGCTATTCACTCAAGTAATCTACCAGTAAGTGATACCAAATTAATTTTCTTTGCCTTTGATGAGACTCTGTGTTATGTTTTTGTGTGCATCAGTTTATATATTAGAGTTTGAGGGGAAGTGGAGCTCCAAATTTATGGTAACAGCAGTTTTCTTTAAAGCATATCAACAGAGATGAATTGGCAGAGTCTTCATTCACCATCTTTTATACAATATTGCCCTCTATGGGAATATTGTAAAATATTGAATATTTTAGCAGGGTGATAAGTATATTCTTTCATACACTCCTGTGTTCATCACATGATTTTTCTTTCCTCTTAATTTAATTACTTTGCTCTTTCCCACCCTCTAACAGGTATAAACAGCTGAGCTGACAAAAAAATTCATCATTGTTTTATTATATAGTAGGTTTAGAGTATCAGAATTCATTTTACTTTATTTATTTTACATTATATTTAATTATTTGTTTGGTTTTCTTTTGTAAAATATCTCTGTTTTCGGAGTACTATATTTTCATTTACTTCATATCATCTCATTTATGATAATTCCTTTTCAGAAAAGGGAAACACCAATTAAAGTTCTAAAATAAAATTATACTTAATATGGAAGACAAACAAATCATTTTACATAAAGGAATATTTAGAATTTACAGTGCCATTCTTCTGATTCTATAAATGCAAACCAAATTACAGTAATGTATAAAATATTTTCAATTCTTTAAAATATATGACAATATTTTTACTAAAATATTTTTATTCATGAATAATATTAGGAAGATTAAATGACATGGATTCTAAAAAGGAAAACTAATCTGGGTCTTCTTATCCATGGGGAAAATTGCTTTATAATGTATCTTTGCATCTTCCTTTTGAAATGAATTGTTGCTTCTATTTGTGACATACAGAACTGGTGCAACAGTTTCATTGAAAATATATTTGTAGGGGAAATGTTAATTTCTGGTTCCCTATTTTCTAGCTTTGGGTTGCCATCATTCGTTCATTCATTCATAAATTTATTTTTTTAAATGTCAGTAACTATGCCATGGCACTGCTCCAAGTATTAAGGATATAAGCCTCAAACAAACAAACAAAAACAAAAGAGATTATCTCTGTCCTCAAAGAATAAAGACTTCATTGCTAGCATTATGTGTGTGCCTACAAATCAGGCAACAATAGCAATATAATGCTGTGTACCCCATTGCTAGCTGGTTACAGAGGGCAACACTGGGTTTACAGGTCTTGGAATACAGCATGACTTAGAATTCACAAGTATTGCTTCTCAAGCTTAAGGAAACTTTCAGCCATTGTTGACTTGCTTTAGAACATCTCATGTTCTTATACCACTTCCTCACAACTTACCATCTCAACATGGTCCCCCAACACACACACACACACACACACACACGGCTTAAACCAAATAGGAGAAAGAGTGACAGCATCCAGTGAATTACCCCAGAGTGACGATAATTTACAGTGAGGCACTGAAGCTAACAGGACAGAAACTGATTTGCTAAGGCTTAGTAAAAAATTAAGATTTCCCATGCTGATCAGAGCATTAGCCAAATAGTTCATAAATGAGATGTCTTTCCCTGAAGGACTGGAGCAGGCGGAAAACAAATGATATTGGGATATTTAAAATACAAAAAATTTGGTAACAGATGAAAGAAAATATCCTATATGACAAAAAGAATTTTATCAAACTTATCACTGTGATGCTATGATTCTGGTCTGCAAGTAGCTTTCTCACTTTGAACATTTAGGACTTCAAATTAGAGAATGTAAAATGACTTGTAAGGCGTAAGTCAAAAGGAAATCACCATCAAACCCTAATAAAATTTGGCAAATGAAAATTCCAAAGAAAAGAGAAACAAAGAAAGAAACAAACTGAAACTACCTATCCTAGATAAAACTTATACAACCCCTATAAGGTATTTAAAGATCCTACTCTGATGAGACACTCCCGCTGGAGTTGGGGCCCAATTAATGCGCTTTATGAACTCTCCTCACCTTTGTGTACCCTCTAAAAGAGAAACTAACTGAAAATTCTCATAGCAAAGATCAGACCATGGAAAAATCATAAATTTAATTTTTACTGTCCTCCCCCACCTCACCCTGGGTCTCTCACTTGAGTGCTAACATTTTAGTGACAACAAAATTTCTTATGATGCAATGGTGTTTTGGCCAACAACTGCTATTTATTAAAAATCATGTTCCTTTAAGTAGTTGTCTGCCAAACTGGAATTGGACTGTTTAGTCTGTTTGTTCCCTCACTTGGCCTTTCAAGTTTTGCATCTTCAAAGGATTTATTTGAAGCATTAACATGCTGATTTCTCTCTTGCTACAACAATGCACTAGAGTGATACTGGCAAAAAGATTCTTTCTTCCAACCTGCTCTTCCTATTTTTTTCCCTTTTTCTAATAACTTGCTAACAAGAGATCCAGATGTGTAATAAGATAACATCTAAGTCTGTGACTGGGGTGTTTGTTATCCACGTAATGCTATTTGGCACTTACGATTTTTTTATCATGTATTATGATACCATTGAAGCAAAAGTGACTTTATGCAACTTCTTTCTCACATAAGTTCTTATCCTAACAATTGCTAGCAGAAGATTTTTTTCTCTTAATAAAAAGTTTTTGTATTAGTCACTCACAGCCCAATTAGAGGCTTCCCCTGCTCCCTGAAGGCATAAACTTTGAACGTAGAAGTTTCTTTTATTCATGCTTTTTCTTTTAAAAAAGAGTTATAGCCTTTCGTGTTGGTACAACAGGATAGTTGCTCATGTTAAAAAATAAAATTAAAAGAAAAGGATATAGACAGAAAGTGGTAGTGTGGTAATAGAATCTTGTATTTATAAGTTTTAGTAGTGAAGACTGTAAATTAAACTAAACGCATTCAATCAAAATTGTGAGAACTATAAATTTATTTGGTTGTGCTCATTCAAAATTATTTTTGCTCTAAAAGTAACAAAAAAGATGAAACTTGAAATGAATAAAAATGTACATTTAAAGATCTAAATATCTTCTGTTTATAGCCTGTATATGCATGTGAATAATTTTTTAAAAAGTAGAAATTATGAAGTACTTGGAATCTTGTTTTAGTATTTTCTGTGCAAACCTTTATTTATTTTAGAGGCAAGCATTTAAAACTTACCATTAGTAACAATTAGCAGAACAAAATGAGAAAGAAAATGATGAAAATTTTTGAAATTGTTAAATTTACCGAGTTTTTTTGAAGTTTTCTAAGATTTTTATTAGTAGATATTACTACCCTCTCATTTTCACTGTAATAAAGACTTGACATACAAACAAAAAAAAGACCTTCCTTTTAAAATAAACATCTTTTTTTCTTCTATTGAGTAAGTATATACAAAGATATATGTGTGTATTATAAAGAACAAAGCGTATATATGTATTTATAAATTAAATTGAAAGTATATTATGTTCTTAGATATATGTTATAAGTGTATATTATATAATGTTTTCAATGTTTTTCACTTTTAAAATTTCCAAATAATGCATATAACACATACACATTTCTTGAACTTCCAAGGAAACGCCACTGAAAATTTAAAAGGTAAATTCAAAGATAAATTCAGTTGAATGAAAAGGTTTTGTAGTGGGCAAATACTACTTTAACTTTTGCTGAGTCAAGAGAGCAACTGAATAAAAATATGTGGAGCTCTAAAAGTTTATTAGTTCAACAAGTTCAATTCAATTTTTTAAAAATCCATTGAGGTCTTAATATAAGTCTGGACCTACATCTTAATAGATAAAAGAACAATTATATTATACTTTATAGAGTGCTTAAAGAAACTTAAAAGCATCCACTTTCTTCTTAAAAGTCAACTATAAGCAATTGGGTGAATGCTTTGCATTGCGTGTATTGTTGAAAATGAGCTGACTTGATGCTACATTTTGATATTTAAGTGCAAGCCCTGTAAATTGTGGAACACAAGTTAAATGATTTAAAAAATTAAAACACTTTGAGCAAGTAATTATTTCCTCTTTTCTCTCTTGTGTATTACATTTCTTCCCAGAAATGTCCAAGGTCATTTATTTCATTTTCCCAACATGACAGATGAGAAAATGATAAAAGATTACAAATTCACAAATATGTTTGTTTTAGTCATTTGCGAATACAATATACAAAGAAAAGTATAAGAAAAATATTCAAAATACTTTGAGGATTATTTTGTTTTGTTTTAGTGTGAGTGTTGTGAATTTCTCTGGTTTTCCCCAGGAATAGAAAAGAAAGCACTTTTTGGTGGGTTTCCATTCATTTATACATATGTATATGGTGGGACCCTCTGCCTTCAGTACTTAGTGTATTTCTGAATGAAAAATGAGGCAGGGAGAGTAAAGTTGGGTATTTTTTCCCTAAATTGAATTTTAATTACTCATCTCTGGATTTTTTGAATTTCAAAGTTCATGTTTCACAAATATTTAAAAGAATTTTACCTTTAATAAGAATATCTTCTATTAATATTTTATATAGCATTTTTACACTGTGAAAGTAGTTACCTCTTCAGCTTAAAACATTGTTTATAGTTTAATGCTAGAGAAGAAGTTGATCAACATTTTTCACTTGTAATCATCAATGGATATCAGCTCTAGTTTATCACTAGAGCCGAGGATATAAACCCTGCTCCATGTTTTAATGTGATGGGTTTTATCTTCAGATCACTGTGTTGCCATTTAGTTCCAATAAATGAAAATACTCTGATAAAGTGGCATTCTTGAGTTGTGAAATAGAACTATGTCAATAATATAAAGATGTTGAGCATTTATAATAGTTTTTCATTTAAATTATTTTTCTAAAGTTAAGACTTAAAAATAATTACCCAACTTGAATAAAGAAGAAGGCATTATTAGTAAGCCAAACTACATACAACAGAAAAATCTTCAATTGGCTTTTACAATTTATGCTATTTTATGTTATTTATCAACTGTTAGTGTTTCCCATGATGCTACTCTAGTAATAATTATTTTATTATGACATCTTTGAAATATTTAACTGCAGTTTATTTATCCATTTTGAATTTTGATGTGTATCACTCTGAAAATTCTGACTTGACTTCAATGCATCTTTGCATTCCAAATGTTTTAAAAGGTAGTAAGAAGTACCTGAACGCTTTAATTATTTTTAAAATATAAATTTTTTCTTTAATATATTTTAGCCTGTGCACCTGAAAAACTAACTGATACATGACCTATGAGTTACTAGGTTTTATTTATTGCTTATGAATAACTGGTAAATATTTTTTCTAACTTGCTAGATTTTTTTTCCCTATTCTCTGTATGGCATATGTCTATGGCTTGCTAACCCTCAAAACCTTGTGCAGTATAATAATACTAGTAATCCTGGATGCATTAAAATTATTCTTCTGAAAGACCACATCATCAATAAATGCTGAGTTTTGAAGGACTCCCTCCTACCCCTACCTTCCAGTCTTATAGAGGATTTCATTGAAACCACACCAGTATTTCAAGTGGAACTACTACGTACAACCAAAGACACCCATATACCTGAGGAGGACTTGGAGTTGAGAAAAGCTTGTAGTTCTGTTCTGCAACCTATTAGGGGTGTTGAACCAAATTCTCATTAGCCTATCTTATTCCACTAAATTAAATGGTAGAAACTAAGGGATGTACTAAAGCAAGAAAAGCCCAGGGAATCATGTAGTCTGGAATGAGGAGAAGTACCTGAAAGCACTTTACTTTTACTTTTACATATATCCTAATGAATAAGTTTAAAGAACTTTACATAATGTATATAAAAGTACTTGATAATATCTTTATGTGTTTACACGAATTAATAGAAAACAAAGAGCAGGTAATTTTCAACTTATATTGCCACGTTAAAAAGAAGAAAAGAGACATAGAAAAGAACTTTTCCATAATAATCCAGTAGTTTACCTTAATTACTAAAACAATGCACACAATAAATTCACACGCACATACTCTTTCTTTTCTTCTAACATTTATCATGGTCTAAAATGCTGTTATTAACTTCAGGACTATGTAGCTTACTAATACTTGTCCGAGTTTCCTATTGCTCATTGTTGGCTTTTGTTGAGTTTGTAATTTTTGTGTTTAACTGGCACACATTTACAGCAGAAAATCCTGCTTTGAACTTTTCTTATTTTGTCCAATAGAATCTCGTGGAACAGTGTCATAGCTGCAAAGTGGAATTCTATCCTCAAATTTCATAGGAAATAGTCGAACTGTACAATGAAAGATTATGCAAATCTTCAAGGAGCATCTAATCAATCACCGCGGTGTGAGCGGAATGCAGCCCATCGCTGAATTAGCTTCTGTTGGAATGTATTCATGTGTAACATCCCACTGACTGGATGACATCACAACAGCTCCAGGTCCTTGAAAGTCTTGAGGATGATTAGCTGAAGGAATTGGCTGTTTCTGCCAATCATAATCCGGCAAAGCTGCCTTTATAGTTCTGGAGATGTGAGAGAGAGGGAGGGAGGGAAAGACCGACTACAGCTAAACAAGAGGCACAGCAGCACTAGCAACAGCAGAGCAGGAGCAGCTGGTATTCCGGTGATTAAATAGTTCTCATAGCCTTTTTGCTGTACTCGGTCTGCTCCCTGGTGTAATTCTCGTGTCCAAGAAGGAAGCTGCATTTTAACGGTGTGCTGAACAGAGGTTTGAATCATTCCAGCTGGCTGCTTGTTTTGAAAAGGACAATGTGTGTATAAATAAAAGGACTCTGCTGGAAGAGTTCAGACACTAAGACTGGAGCTAGAGAGTGCTCTTGGAATATTGTTGAGGCAGATTGCATGAACTGAAAGCTCCTTCTAATTAACCTGGAGCCAAGTGAACCTGAATACTGGATATCTCATGTTCTAACACGGGATAAATTCAAGTTAGAAAAAGACAAAATATTGAAATGCTTCTCTAGGTAAGTTACTGCTTAATTTGCTGAAATCGAGGTGTGTATCATAAATGAATATGCGTTGCTTAGCTATGTAAACAAGTCGGACACAATAAAGTTTTATTTGTGAAAGATTTATGTAGAAGCAGATAATATCTTAAAACCAAATTCAATCTCCCTTTTCCGCATGTGTGTGCTTACCTGTCATCATGCTTTATAGAAGTTATATTTGCACGTAAGTAGAAAATACAGTCGTACATAAAAAAAAAGAGATACAACTTGATAAAATTTAAACAGTTGCCGGAACATTTGCATAGGAAATATCTTATTTGATAACAACTTTAGCCTTTTCATATTAAAAGCACCAATTTTACAAACTCAACATCCAAAGTTAACTGTAGGGTTATAAATGTTTCCCTAATAAGTGTTACTGAAAACATGGCATTCAAATTACCGAAGATGGGAACTCCTGTTTTTTGGACCTGAGATTTATAGGCATGCTCTGTACTAATGGTCTGCTTTAGAGAAACAGCTGTCACAGACATGTGAAATTGTATGTTACAGTCATAAATTGCTTATAAAGAAATAGGTGCTTTCCTCCTACCTCCTATTAGAAAAGAAAAATAAATTCTTAGAACAATATATGTCATATGCCCTAAGCATAGTTTCCTAGGAGGACAGAAAGCTTTATGGTATACCTCCAATTTCCTCAAGCACAGAATAAGTTGGAAAACAAGAAATGTTATTGGAATATGGTTTTACTCATTCTTTTCAATATTCTTTTTGAGAAAGCTAAATAAGGAAAATTAAACCTTATTTTTCTTAGAATTTGTCCTGATTAATAAAATACTATATTCTACAGAATTCCTGTCATAGTTTTTTTAAGTGATTATATGTTTTGTTTATTATGATAAGTTATACTGTGAGTTCTCATACAGCTTTAGAAAGTTTTAAGTTTATGTTTTATCATGTCTCTTTCAAACTCACCTTTGCTTGTTTTCGTGGTGCCTTTTATCAGAATATTTTTCATTTGCACAGTTTCATAAATGCTTTAACATAAATTGCATACCAAGATACTGATGTGTTTCTGTAACTCTCAGAATGATTTTAGTTTTCCACTTTCTCACCAACAACATGGTTAAAATCCTGTGAGGTTTCTGCCCCAAGAGGAAATTGATAAAGATGAAAGTTATTGTAATTGGTTGAATTTCCCCAAAACTAGGAAGCAATGAATTTTCCCACAACGATGTAAAGGTTTTTTTTTTTTTTTCATATCAAAAGAGTAATTTATTCTACTCTATTAAAAGTATGCCAGTTAGCTATATCCCAGTGTCACATAGGTTCTGTGCTGGTCATTTGTGTGCATGAGTGTGTGCGTGTGTGTGTGTGTGTGAGTAGCAAGTTTATGTAAAGAATATAAAGTCCACTGACTACAACAGTCTAAGTTTTCAACTGGAATTCATAAAAAACTAATTAATAAGCAAAATATAATTGCCATTTACATTTATCTCAATATATAAATGGGAAGTTAAGCCTACTATTGTTGACATTTTTAAAAATAAGAAATCGTATGACAATACATTATGATGATCAATATTAAACAATGTTTACATTGATAGACATCTCATAATAAGCTAATTGGGAAGATTTTTAGAAATTGAATACTAAGCAGAATGGGCCTTTTAACTCTATCTGAATGGCACCTGGTCACCACTAAGACTGATACATAAAAACCCTTTGAAAAAGTTATAATATATATGAGTTACTAATATAACTTGAAAATCACCCTTAGATCCAATTTAGAAACTCAGGCATTATTTTTAAATAAAAGGAAGGTAAAACCTCCTGAAAATTTGAATTTTTTAAATTGATTAATGCAAATATATAAATAATAAATAAAAATGCAAATATATGTAAATTACATTTTGTTTTCTCCAAGATAGGCTTATTATTTAAGAAATGTGTAATTTTAAATATATTATCCTAAACATCAAAAGGAAGTATATGGGGACTATTTTTATATATAAATATATTAAGTCATAATTTGGAATTTCTATAATTGATAATCAAAATAGAAACATATGCTCATGCTTATGTTCACCTCAGGAAAATAAGGATCTTTCATTTTTTATTTGAGATTAAAAACTGTTATACCTATTCTTTCTTCTCCCAAAGAAAAGCATTCTATACTTGGATTTAAAATAAACATAATTCAATCTCAATACTAACATTAGTTCTTAAACGTACTAAATAAATGTTTCCAACCCAGTAGAACAGTTGTCCCCAGTAGGTTAAATGTTCATATGATCCCCTTGTACTTTCTGTTTGAGTTGAAAGGGGGCCTTTGGAAATAAAATCCAAAGATCAAACTTTGTGTGCATCATTTACAAGCAATTACTAAGGGAGAAGAGAGAAGCATTTAGCATACTGTGTTCAAACTAGAAGATTCTGGCTGGTGCTGCCTTCCCAGATTTAGAAAGCAGCTGGGGAAACATAAAATAAAGCTAGAATATCAGCCCTGGCTGGAAGCCAAGACAGAGAAGCTGTGCACCCAGAAGGCTAATTCTTTCTGGGCTAAAATTCATTGATAATGCATTATGTTTAGAGTCTAACCTGAAGTGTTATTTTTTTTCTCCAGTACAAACTGTGGGATATTTAAAGAACAAATATATTTTCTAAGTAGAATTAAATTTTAAACTAACAAAGGTTTCTTCTTTATTAAAAGTTGCTCTGTTGAAAAAATGCAAATAAGCCTACCAGAAACTCCTATAAAATACAGTTTATTCTCAGGAAAAGAAAAAGAAATAACGATGAGATGCATCATCTAACCATGATCTTGGAGAGGCAGAGAGATCAGAAATGACACATATGGATACATGCCAAAACAAAGAAATGTGAAAGTTTTATTAAAATACCTGGCCTAGTAAAATTTACAGTAAAGATACACACACTAAATACTGTTGTAGCATATATCTTCTGAAGGTAGGCAGCAAACATAAGGTAAACTCTCATTACGTACCCCCAGATAACTAGGAAAAAGAGAAACCATGTTGTCTGTTGATTTATTTGAAGTTTACGAAGTGAGATAAATGGGTCAGGTGTCAGACACAATGCTACCGCCTTCAGCCATCATGATAAAACATCTAGCCAGCCTTTTCTTTAACACTTCAGGAAACTTTCAGCTATGCTGTTATGCAGGGTGTTAAATGCCCTATTTTTAAAAGTTATTTTCAGCAAGCTTAAGAAGTTAGAGGTGTTATTTGCAATGCAGAATGTGTACACATATATACAGGCATTTCTAATAGATATAGTTCTATTTCCAAGCTTTCTTTATCTCAGTTTTCTAAGGAAAACTATCACTTTCTAGAGGTGACAAATCTAAAATTTCTTTCAGAAATAATATTGAATTGAAAATAGATTTCCTCAAAAGCTAAAATAGTCTGAAAATGAATTCCAAACTCATCAATAGCCTCAGGCATTTCAAGGCAAAAATATTTTTTTGAAATGTGAATAGTAAATTACTCTTCATTCCAACAGGTAAACATGTTTGCTGATATAACTTAATGTATTTATTTTCTTTGCATTGTTATAGTTTGTCTATATTCATCAGTATTCAGAAAATTCATGCCATGAAATAGGTTTTAATAAAATAAACTACACATGACAGGCTAAATAATGGTTTTCAGGTGACCCTTTGAGGTCATTTACATACATAGGCTATTTTAGATATATCTTTTAAAAGAGATAATATACTTCATTAACACTAAATAAATAGTTATGTTTAATTAGTTGAAATTTTGAAAAATCTGAGAAAAAAGGGTTAAAACTATGTCTGAATGCTTGAGAATATAATTTGATATTGTACTCAGAAAACAGAAGCGAGACTTTTGTTGAGAAACAAAAGTGATGACTCTAGTGAATTATAGAATTGGGACTTCTGTACTAAATCCAATTTGTACTCTGTTTAGAAATTATTACTTTAAGTATTTGAAGAGTTCAATGAAGAAAGCAACTTTAGCAAGCTAATAAACACATGAGTTTTATGTGCGGCCACATGCTTCATTTGTTCCCAAATTAGAGGAATTTCTCTATTTTGCAAATTCCACCATCAATTGAACTTATGTTGTGATTTATTTCAAATATTTAGCCTCCTTTTAAAAAGTCCTTAATGGAATGCATCGTCAACTATAACTACACAGAAGTTGAAAGTTAGCTTGGCCAGGTTCACTATATTCAAGTAAAAAGTAAATGGAGAAATGCTTCCTTAATCTCTTTTCATTAGCTCCTTTCTTTCTTCTCTTTCTTTTACTCATTTTTCTTATTTCCCTTCCCTTCCTCTCTTTTTCTATTCTTTTTCTTTATTCTTTTCTCTCTTCTCTTCTTATTTTACCACTTTTTCCTTCCTTCCTCCCTTCCTTTCTTCCTTCCTTCCTTCCCTTTTCCCTCTTTCCTTCCTTCTTCCTTCTTGCTTTCCTACCTTCCTCTTGTCTTTTTTCCTTTCTTCCTCCCTTTTTCCCTCCTTCCTTTATTTCCATTCATTTTTGCCACTTCAGCTTACATGCTCTCTTGTGTAATTGGAAAGCAAATCACTCATCTTTAGTATTGTGGCAATTATTAATCTAATAACCTGGTTTGAACACAGAGTAAGTGGGGAAAATGAAGAGAAAGAGTGGGTTAAGTTGCAATAAGCAATCAAGGAAAAGTGAAATAGGGTGGGAGATTTATTTCAGAGAAATAGTGATGTTGACTTTAACATATGGGCTGTTCTTCCACCTATAAATTTCCATTTAATTTACTAAATTATTTAAGTGGAATTCTTTTTTTTCCAACACTCCCTTTTTAATATCAGTCACATCTTTTCCATATAGCAGATGCACCTTAGTGGTAAAAAATAAAATGATAATAATAAATATAAATAATTTTTCCTTAGAAATTTTAAATCCTCTAAATCATTTTTATATCTAGTAGTTTAAGGATATTAACATTCATAAGCAACCCAAAGGCCAACTGCCATGCTAGTGGAAGAAAAAGAGAGAAGGGAAAGTGATTTCACACATTTAGATGCTTTGGCTTGATTCTATTCCTGAATCAGAAATTCAGTTGTAGACTGCTGATCCACAGAATTTGTCATAGTTCATCAGACACCTCAAAAGAGTTCTTCTTCTTCTTGATGTATTGAATAGTCTTTCATGCCTACATAACAATCATTTAAACATCAGAAATAAATATAACATCACTAAAGATTAATGCAAGGAAAGGTAACAGATGCAGAGATGCATATGCTCCTGTGAATGCATATAACAGTCCTAATTCTATTCATTACTCTAAAGTGCAAGTGAATAATTAGAATCAGAATTTAAATTTGGTTTCTCAATCAATCTTTCACTAATAGTTA
Organism: Homo sapiens; assembly: GCF_000001405.40. Lineage (NCBI taxonomy): Eukaryota > Metazoa > Chordata > Mammalia > Primates > Hominidae > Homo > Homo sapiens. The sequence continues at coordinate 115,108,075 of NC_000004.12, read as the reverse complement.
TGTCAATTCAATTGAGATTCCCTGTACTGTAATAAGTAAAATAAAACACAATCAATAAATTATACTACCAACTTATCTAAAGTATTATGGTTCCTGATAACACAGTTTTTGAAGTTTCTTTCCTTGAAACAGGACATTTTCTTGATATCCATAGAAATAATGCTAAAATTGATCAATCGAGGTTGAACTCAATTCAATACTTAAATTACTCTATCTGTCTGGACATATTTTTCACCTTAGACAGAAAAAAATAGCTTTTTTACTTTTGCTCAATAATGTTCATAAAAATAAGGAAAATAAATATTTTCTATTATTTTTAATATGTGTCAGGCACCATGCAAGTTACTAGGGTGAACAAAATAGCTCTCAGGAGGCTTATATTCTCATGGTAGAAAACTGACAGTAAATAAATAAAGACCCCACAGTAGTGCCTGTGAGTGCTATAAAGATAAGTCAAGGTGGCACATTAAAAGCTGTATGTGAAAGTGATAGGACTGGTCAGGAAATGCCTTTCTGATAAGGCAGAAACTCAGTAAATCCATATAAAACATAGATGTCAAATTGAGTAACATTATTATTTTATCTTGTAGAAAAATGTGATGAGGAGTAGCAATTTCTTGTAATGTGCAAGCTGACAAGCTGAATTTTGTCTCTGTCTATTGATTATCCTCCTCAGGTCTGTGAAGTTGTTTGGGAGAATTTAAGATATGGCACACTATTTAGTGTCACTTTCTCTGGAAAGTAAAAAAACTAATCAGTTTTAGAAAATAGAAGTCTCACCTTTACTTCTATTCTTTATATTTCTAAGTATTAAGAAGTATTATGTGTGTAAATTATCTCAAATTACTGGTTTTTAAATTTTTTTCTCACAGACTGAAATTCAATGCTATTTATTTCCTTCTTTAATTTTATTTAGAGATAGGCTCTTGCACTGTCTGGCACCCAGGGTGGAGGCAGTGGAGCAATCATAGCATACTACAACCTCAAACTCCTGGGCTCAAGCAATCCTTCCACATCAGCCTCTCAAGAAGCTGGGACTATAGGTGCACACCACCTCACCCAGATAATTTTATTATTCATATTTTTTGTAAAGATGGGGTGTCATGTTGCCCACGCTGGCCTCGATTTCCTGGCCTCAAGCTATCCTCCTACCTCAGCCTGACAAAGTGCTAGGATCATAGGCATGAGCCACTGCCTGGTCTCAGTGCTATTACTAAATCTTACGTAGCAGAGGAGCTGGCTCCATATCTCATTCTCCCAAATTGGTGGCGGTAAGAACCAATATTCCAAAACATCACCCAGTTGGCTGGAATGATGGACCTAACATAATGAAATGAAGATCGATGTAATTCTTAGTATCCATGGGTCCATCTGTGAATTCAACTAACTGAAAATGAAAAGTATTTTAAAACATAGATGATTGTTTCTGTACTAAACATGTGCAGGCATTTTTTCCTGTCATTACTCTCTAAATAATACAGTATAACAATTATGTACATATCATTCACATCGTATTAGGTATCATAAGTCATCTAGAATTGAGCTAGAGTATACAGGAGGATGTGTATAGGCTACATGCAAATACTATGCGATTTTATACAGGGGTTTCAGTATCTCTGGATTTTGGTCCTGGAGGGTTAGGGGGTCCAGGAACCACTCCTTATGACAAGAGATGACTGTTTCTTTTTTAAAAAATTTCTCCAATTATAAAATTACCTCAAATTTAACAAGAACCAAAAGTTTGATGACACTAATACAATGCTAATACAAACTTAGAATGCATTAACAGAACCATAGTGTCAACATCCAGGAAACAGTTATCTGTGATCCTATTTAATACAAGTCTGACATTATTTGGCCTGTTCATCATTCTCAGTTTCCCGATGCCTCATGTTAATAGCAGTCTTCTATGACCTTCCTCTTCCCCCATGGTGAACCAGATATTTTTGCCCTACCCCCACACTGTTCCATCAGGGCACTTATTACCTTATGATGTAATTGCTGTGTGTGTGTCAGCGCTCCCCATTTATCCAAAAGCTTTTTGATGGCAGAAATGCTTAGAGAGTGCTTGACCAATAATCAATAGATACTAAGGGTTTGATAAATGTAAAATGTGAGAAGACATCTGGCAACTATGCTATATGAGTAACAGTTGAAAAACACAGTAATAATTAAAGGAAAAAAGCTAAAAGGGAGCAGTATAGTTATCTTTATATATTAGATACTTTTTTATGCAAAAGGAATTTGTTTTATGTTATGTGACGCTAGCAGACTAAGCTACGAAAGGTACGGAAGTTGTTTCTATGCAATGTCAGGTAAAACAATACTTCCTAAAAATCAGTGAGATTCTACTCAGTCAAAGCAACAAACACAGGCTGGAATGCTACCTGTTCAGAAGACTTTTGTGGAAGGAATTTCTGCCTTGCGTAGAAAATAAATGCTGGCTACCAAGATTTCTTGTTGTTTTTTGTTGTCGCACTATAAGAAGTATGGACAAAGGTTTTAGAATGAGCACTTGGCCCACCTAAATCCAGCTCTAGCAGTTGGCTGGAAGACTGGTCAACATAATTCAAGTAAATAACCACTGGGTAAAATTACACAGTGGAAATTACTCAGGATATGCCCTAGAGTAAAAAAGCAAATTTTCATAATAGAATTATTTATAAGATGTACCATTTTATAAAGAAAATAAAATAATACATTTCTTGAGTAAGTGAAAGTTTGTTTTTTATTGTAAACATATTATTTTACTATTCTTTTGAGACAGTCCAAGAAAGATAACATGTCAACATTAGAGGAATGAATAAGAAAAATAATTTTGCTTTCCATAAACTTCTAAATTTTAAAGAATGCAGAGATTGATTGACCTAATTATGATGCCTTTTTGTAGAAGCCTTCATGTAAACAAATGTGAATTAAAGATGAGATAATATTGTGACATATTGGAAGGCAGGTGTTAACCTTGGTTTCCACCAGATCAGGATTCCAAGCCTTGCTTTGCCCTGACTCATGATATAACCTTGAAAATTCTAACTCTTCTCTGCTTCAGCTTCATGATCTGGGATGGGGTAATAATAATTCATAGACTTGCTGAGACAGCTAAACATAACAATAAGTCCAAAGTTTCTAGTACACAGTGGGAAACATGAGATTTTAAATTAATAGTATCAAGTTTTGATTACATGTGTCAGTACTCTGACTTTGGCCTGCAATGCCACATTTTGTACTGATTTAAAGTATCCCCTGAGTGATTAGTATTGACTGCTCCCAATCTTTCTCACTTGGAGATAATGATCTAAGTCACCTTTTTCTACTGTCTCTACTGTATTGTTGATCATATATTTTAATATTAATAACATTGAATCTAACTTAAAGGATCAAATTTCATTCACCAACATTTTAATGTGATTTATCATGATCTTGAAAATTAACTAACATTCAAAAATTTTCAGGAAAACATACTATATCCCAGAGAAAAAAATGTTAGAAAAAGGGGCCAAATAGTTTTCCTCTATTTTCTGTCACGCTGGAGTAAGCAGAAACATGGAATTTGAAGAAGACAAAGACAAAGATTCAGAAACTAGAACTGGATAGAATAAAAACAAATGCAAATGTTTCCTAGTTGGTCTTCTGACCAACTGCTAGAGCTGAGAGGTAGGTGAAGAGAGTATTTATTCCGAAGTCTTTATCCACACCCCTTATAGTGACACAATGTAAACACAAGAAACCTTCCTGGCCACCATCTGTCTCCTTCTCAAGGCAGTAGTAATTTCTTCCAAAAAAGCAGTTTGGTAAACATAATAAGCTACTTTAAATTACTAATTACTAATGTTAACCCAGGCTGAAAGTAAAAAGATATAAACTATATTCTAAGTTTTGCCACAAATGTGCTGATAAATTTTAAATTGATCTCATGGTTTCCACATGTAAAACAAGACCACTTTCACTCCTATTCTTTGTTTCCCCAAAATATATTTTGAATATAAACACAATATTTCACATTTCTAAATCTCCCAGTATTTTCCACCAAACCAGTTTGCTAAGTGAATTATTTTGGTACGATGTCTAGTATTCTTTTAAAGGATCCATAAGTAACTATCGTGATAATTCTAGATGCCAGTCATCAAGTATTAAAATAGGAACATCTCAAGAAATGTTGTCTCTGACAAGAAGCAGAATATGTGAAATCACTCCAGATCTCTTCTCTTGAGTTTTTATCATGCTTTTCTGATGTTTGAGAATTGTGTAACCTGGATTAGTTTTTGGTGGGAGAATAATATTCTATACAGGATATATTTACATGTTACTATCCACATTATTTCTGGTTTATGGCCAAGTTGGCATTTTATTTGTTAATATCTAAAAGACAAAATAACATAAAATAGAAGGAAATTAAATTAAAAATAGCAGGTTTACCTGTGAAATTGAATGGAGTATGCCTCTTATGATAAAGAATAATCCAATCATTTTGTGTGTTGCGTAAAATTAAGAACTCTCTGAAGTAAATAAAAGGTGGAAACCATAACTACAGGGTTTATTAAATATATAGTTAGAAAATAATCAAAAGAAAATATCAGTATTTCCTATTTGAGTAAGATTCTTTGTAAGTCTTGAGTACAGCAATGAAAATTTTACTTCATGATATTTAAGGTGCCAATATAGAGCAGTGGCAATGAAAGAAGAGATTTATAATTAATTTAAAAATGTGGGTTCATATTAGCTGTTTAACAGTGGACTGGTCACTTCACTTCTTTGGGCATTACATTCTTCATTCATTCATCCCTTGAGTTCTCTGAATAATAATTTTGATAATTAAAATTTATAGCTTTTTGTATTATAGATTTAAAGTGACAATTTAGAAAGAGTTTATTTTCCATCACCAGCAGCACAAAGTCAGAATGTCACATAGATACTTTCTTGATAGAAAGGTAACATAATGATTAACATCTTGCTAGACCTTTCTGTAAACTAGGTAATAGACTCTTGTTATATCACCCAAAAATGATCCAAATTTTTGGACAGCATTAATGTATTTATTGTAAGTGTCTCTAGATAAGAAAGTCAGTGGGGCTGGGAGCAGTGGCTCACATTTGTAATCCCAGGACTTTGGGAGGCTCAGGCTGGTGGATCACCTGAGATCAAGAGTTCCAGACCAGCCTGCCAACATGGTGAAATCCCGTCTCTACTAAAAATACAAAAATTAGCCAGGCGTGGTGGCAGGCGCCTATAATTCCAGCTACTCAGGAGGCTGAGGCAAAAGAATCGCTTGAACCCGGGAGGTGGAGGTTGCAATGAACTGAGGCCGCACCATTGAACTCCAGCCTGGCTGATAAGAGCCTAACTCCATGTCAAAAAAAAAAAAAAAAAAAAAGGAAGTCAGAAGTATATGGTATATAAATGACCACTGATGTGAATTTTAAGAGATAGTAATCTTTTGTTACATCTGATACAGGCAAATTCCATTTATGATGATGGAAGTGACTGCTTACCTAAATTCAGAAGCAGAATAATTAAAATATTACAAATATAGCTTCTAAGAGACTATGGATATTAATGTAACTTCTGAATATAATTGCAATACTATTAGCATTAAATTTACATTAAAAAATAATGGAAAATTTGATTACTGTTATCATTGATATTTTAATAACTTCTTTTGTGATTTCTTGAAATTAAACTTTAATGTTAAATATTAGGCAAAATCATTTTTCTCTCTCCTTTATTTATGCATAAGTCAGCTAGCAAATTTCTACATTCTGGTTTCATTCACTTGTCTCTGTATCTTATAGTTTTTTTGCCTGTAAGAATACAAGGGTCAAATGAGCATTTTATGTTTCATGGATAACTGCTTCCATGATTGTCTTCTGAGGCAATTAGCAAGGATGCAAATCAATACTAAATATAATAATGGTTTTAAATAATGATTATTGAGCTAAAACAAAGCAATTATCAGTTGATGATAATCATTGCTGCTGGCTATAAGTTGATTTAACTTAAGTGTACAGAAAAGTACAGAAAATAAATACTCCATTGTAATATTAAGGACAAAGTTGATCATGTCACTCCCCTGACTTGTCACAGATTTGTGTTTTCTCTTCTTTTTCAAATCTCTCTTTTCTCCTCAAAATCTAAATCCTCTCATTTTTTAATGGCTAAAACAATTTACATCCCTCTCCAACCCGTCTCCTAATGACGTCAGTCCATGGGAATCTCCACTCTCTCTGAAATCTCATATCGCTTACAGAGTTCTCACCTGCTAATAAGCATATATTCCTCATGACAGAAAGTTTTGTATTCCTATTAACTCTTTCAATTCCTTTTCTTTTTCTTCAAACTATTCTCAGCTTCTTCACCACCACTTTGTTTTCAACTCACTTTAACATTTTACTTGACTTCACTATACCACTGGACTGCTTTAACACCACCACCAGTATTCTCTTGATTGACAAATTCAAGATCAATTTTGTGTTGTATTTCTTGACTCATAAATAGTATTCAGCTTTTATCACAAATATTTATTTTTATATTATTTACGTACAGCTTCTACTACCCTCTTCCACCAACACCATTTATTTAGTGTTATTTCCTAATATTTTCATGGCAAGCCTTTATCATCTTACCATGCACCCTGTTCCTTAGTGTTCTTACTCAATATTAGGGTTTTTTTTCTATCCTTTAACTTACACTTCCTGCAAAGAATTTAAATTCCATTTCTATTAGTCAGCAAACTAGTGGACATTTCCTTTTTGATATTTCACAGACTTTTCAAAAATGATATATTATAATTTACTCATTTTCTCCTCACACTTCTCTACTTCTAAATAACTTTGTATCTTCCCCACTATTACACTTATCATGCCTTATTGCAATTGCCTTTTTATGTCATAGAATATGTCACAGAATAAACTTCCATTGCTTTTGAAGAGTAGAGATAGTGTTTGTCAGATGGATAGTGCATCTGGCTATTAGAGAGCATTCAATCAATTTTAAATGAATGACTGTGAAAGCCTGAAGTCTTTGGGTGATTTTTTTTTCCTCTACATCCAATCAATCACCAAATCATGACACTTCTATTTATTATGTGATGGGACAAAAATAATTCATATGAAAATATTCACGACCTTGTCTCTTTAACAAACAACATAACCATCCACGCTTTTTACTTCCCCTTAAAGATAAGGGCATCTTGCTTTCTGAATGTGAGGTTAATTATCAGTACAATAGGAACTTAAGGAAAGGAGGGCAGAGCAGGAGGGAAAAAAAAAAAAAAGGAGTGAAGCATTTGTCAGAAACGAGGTATTGTAATGAGAGGATTTCCAGAAATTCTCCGTGCTTTGGGGTGCAGGGAAATTGAAGAGTAGAGAAACAGGTATTTTAGAAGTGTCATTTTGTCTTATGAATCAGACTATTTAATGTTATTAAGGAAATATACGTGAAGAACATAATTCCTTTTAAATAAAGTATTGTGGCTCTTAAACTGTGCTTCTTAAATGTATCCTACTGTGCATGTGTAATAGTAGCCCACATAGGGCTACAAATTTATAAGAGCTAGAAAGTTATATATAAATGTCATGAAACAGCTTGCTCTTTTTTTGAATAGACTTAACTTTTTAGAGCACTTTAAGATTCCCAGCAGAAATTGAACAGAAAGTACAAAGACTTTCCATATTTCTCTGTGTACAACTTTTCCCACCACCATCTCCTACAATCAAGAAACCAGTACTGACAGGTCATTATCACCCCAAGTCCACAGATTACATCAGGGCACACACTTGGTGTTTTATATCCTATGGGTTTCAACAAATGTTGTATTGTCATTACTTTTTAATTATGTATTAATTTTCATAGTATTAAATAGAAAAATTTCACTACCCTAAATATCACCTGTGTTCCACCTATTCATCCCTCTCTCCCTGCTCCCAAACCTGTGATAACCACCGATCCTTTCACTCACTCTATAGTTTTGCCTTTTCCAGAATTTCATATAAATGGAATTATATAGTATATAACCTTTTCTGATTAGATTATTTCACTTACTAATATGCATTTTATGTTCATCCATGTATTTCTGTGGCTTGATAGATCATTTATTTTTAGAGCTGAATGATATTTCACCGTACAGATGTACCAAAGCTTATTTATTCATTCACTTTTTGATGGACAGTTTGGTAGCTTCCAAGCCTTGGCATCTATAAATAAAGCTGCAATAAAACATCTGTGTGCAAATTTTTGTGTGAATGTAAATTTTTTAACTCATTGAGTAAATACCAAGGATCATGATTGCTGGATAATATGACTATGTTTAGCTTTGTAAGAAACTGCCAAATTGTCTTGCAAAGTGGCTGTATCATTTTTCATTCCTACCAGCAATGAATGAGAGCACTTGTTGCTCTATGTCCTCCCCAGCATTTAGTGTTGTCATTGTTTTAGATTTTACCCATTCTAAAAGGTGTGTACTGGCATCTCATTGATACTTTAATTCGCAACTCCCCAGTACCATATGATGTGTACCATCTTCTCATATCCTAAATGGCCATTTGTATTTTTTCATTAAGGAGGTATCTATTTAGGTTTTTATTTCCCATTTTTGAATTGGGTTGTTTTTCTACTATGGAATTTTAAGAGTTCTTTGTATATTTTGGAAAACAGTTCTTTATCAGATACGGCTATTGCAAATATTTTCTCCCAGTTTGTAGCCTGTCATCTTTCTCTTCAGAGTGTCTGCCACCGAGCAAAAGTTTATTACTTTAATAATGTTAAACGTATCAATTCTTTCTTTTTTGGATTGTTCCTTTTGTGTTAAGTAAAAAAAAATCAAGGTCATCTAGATCTTCTCCTATATGATCTTCTAAGAGTCTTATAGTTATGTATTTTACATTTACATTTCAATAAATTTATATCTACAAATAGTCTAAAATTCACTTGAGTTAATTATTAAAAAGGTTGTAAAGTCTGTGTGTAAATCACTGTTTCTGCATGTGGATGTTCTGTTGTACCAGCAGGGTTTATTGAAAAGGCTATCCTTTCTGCATTGCATTACCTTTGTTCTTTTGTCAAAGATACTTGACATCTGGGCATGGTGGCTCATGCCTGTAATCCCATCATTTTGGGACGCCAATGTGGAAGGACTGCTTGAGCCCAGGAATTCAAGACCAGCCTAGGTAACATAGTGAGACCACTGTCTCTACAAAATATGTATATAAAAAAAATTAGCAAGGTGTGGTGGCACATGCTTGTGGTCCTAGCTATGCAGAAGGCTGCGGTGGGAAGATCACTTGATCCCAGGAGGGCTAAGCTGCAGTTAGCCATGCTGTGATCATGCCACTGCACTCCAGCCTGGGTGACAGAGGGGGAACCTGATTAAAAAATAAAAAAGAAAAGGAAAACATTAATCGACAATATTTTTGTGAGTTTATTTTTGGGATCACTATTCTGGTCTGTTCTTTCATTTACACCACGGTGTCTTGATTACTATAGCTTTATAATAAACCTTGAATCTTGAAGTTTGTTAGTATCTATCCTCCAACTTTGTTATTCTCCTTTAATATTGAATTGGTGACTGTGAGTCTTTTGCTTTCCAAATATACTTTGCGTGTTCTTTTTAATCCATATTTTCATTTTTAAGTCTTCCTCTGGACTATTGTAACTAATTATTAACTGGTCTCCTACCTGCTGGCTTTAATCCACCCTCTTAGTTCCTCAAAAGATAACTTTCTAAAAGGAAATGTTTACCATGTCAGTCTTCACATCGAAGTATTTCAATAGTTGTCCAATTTTAAACAAATTTAAACTCTCTAGAATTTGAGTAAGACCTTTTTATCTTCTATTACCTACCTACCTTTTCAATCCAATTTCTTGCTACTCGTTTGTAAAGAGAGATATAGGAACTAGGAATAAAAGGTACAGAACAGAATAATATTCCAGCTTCAAAGAGTTTGCATTTTAATTGGAGTGATAGACAAGAAGAAATGTAATATTATGTATATGGTGTAATAGATTGTTAGTATTACACACACAACCAAGCAGGGTTTAGGAAGTGTAAGGAGGGAGCTTGCAATTTTGCACCGGGAAACCGGAAACAACTATACTGAGGATATTACATTTGAATAAAAGATTAAAAGAAATGAGGACATCTGCCATGTTTATATCTGGTTCACAAGTATTCTAGGCAAGAAGAAACAAGAAGTCCAGAAGCCTAGAAGTACATATGTAAAGAACACAGCATGTTTGGAGAATATAGAGAGGCCCAGTAGGGAAGATGTAGTAGAATACTTGGTAGAACTGTGTGGACCACTCTGTGAATTTGGCTGTTACTCTAAGTAAAATTAGGGCCGATTTTGGTGGTGGGGAGTTGATCAGAGGAGAGACATAACCTTAATTACATTGTAAAATGAGGACCCTGGTCAATGTATTGGGAAAAAAATGATGTGGAGCAAGGGCTTAGGCAGAGATCAATTAGAAAGAAATTTCAATAGTCCAGTGGAGAAATAATGCTAATTTGTGCAGAGGTGATAGCCATGGGAATTGTTAAGATATGTTCAGATTCAAGATATATTTTATGGGTAGAGCCAATGGATGGGATGCCTGGTATGTCTGACGGGAAAGAAAGAGAGGAGTCAATGGCCAGCCCCAATAGAGATAGAGAGAAAGAGAGTTCCTAAACAAATTTAAAAATTAAGCATCATTTACTTATATGGAGAAACAGTGGGAAGAATAAGTTTAGGATAAAGGAAAATATCAGATAATCAGGTTTGGTCTCATTTAAGTTGGAAATGCCCATTAGATTTCCAAGTGAAAATATCACATATGTGGTTAGATATACAAACAGGAGTTGGTAATAGATTTAGCTGGAAGCGTAAACTTTGAAGTCAACTTTATCAATAGTACTTAAAACTAGAACATTGTAAGATATCCCAAGGAAGTGAATATAAATAGAAAAGAGTAGAAGAGTAAAGAATAGGCCCTGGGGAACTTCACATTTAGAAGGTAAGGATTAAGAAAAAACATAAATTGTGACTAAGTCATAAAGAAACTGAAATATACGATTTCCTAGAAGCTTACTAAAGATAGTTTCTGTGCGGTTGAGGGGATGATCAGGGGTATAAAATGCCGCTTATAGGTAAAGTAAGATAAGATGAGGAGCAAAAATTGATAAATGGATTTTACAACGTGAAGTTTATTGGTGACATTTATAAAATAAATTTCAATGAAGTTGTGATGGTAAGCCTGATTGGAGTAGGTCCTAGAAAAATTGGACTTAGCATTTCAAACAGTTTTGCTGTAGACAGGAACAAAATATAGCGATAGATTGTGAAGTAAGTGAATCATGATAAAAAAGAACAGAATGCCTGTGTTAGAATGGATATTTTAGTCGAGAAGGAAAATATTATTGCTACATGGGAGTGTGAAAAGTATTACTGAAGCAATATCTTCAGTGAGTAAGTGATAATGCATTAGAACTGGTGAACACTTGTTCTAGCTAAGGAGGGTGTCCTTAGCTAGAATGGATAACTCATCCTAAAGAGAACATACACTCACATAGGGAATAAGTGTTTGAGTGCTTATGAAAATCCTTGTCTGCTTGCTACTGTGCTCTCTATGAAATAGAAAGCAAGATTATCAGATGAGAACAATGAAAAGGAAAGAAATGTTAGAAGTTTGAAGATAGAGAAAAATATGAAACAGTCATCTAGGAGAAAAGATAGTTAATGAACTAAAAAGAGATAGCAAGACTTATCACAGAATTAAAAGCTCATTTGGGTCTACTGATCATGAATTTAAGTCAGTTGAGTAATGTTCTATCCATTATCAGAATTGCAAGTGTAGATTTGGTGGACAGTGGGATTTAGTCAGTTTTGTTCTAAAAAATGTGTTGAGTAATGTTCTATCCATTATCAGAATTGCAAGTGTAGATTTGGTGGACAGTGGGATTTAGTCAGTTTTGTTTTAAAAAATGTACATCATGAAATAAAAGAGTGTAAAATGATTTGAGAGTATATAAAATAGAATTAATATAATAATTGATTATGGAATTTAAACTGGGTAAGGGGGATTGTGAGGCCATGAGAGAGAGAGTGTAAAGTTAAAGGATAAATGACTTAAAGATTTTAGAGGTTTGAAATATTGTTGATGTTGGATTAACAGGTGAAGTGAGCAAAAGAAATAGAAGATTGTGATTGGATAGCACAATATATGAAATATTATTAATTGCTTACTGTTATACAATGATTAATTATAATGAAAAGACCTAGCATATGACTATGGGGCCTGTTAACAATAGTAGGGAGAAAGAAGAAACATTTAAGAGGATGCATAAAACCTCTATAGTGTTGGAAGGATCATCCATATGGATATCTTTATTACCAATAATTATTCATGAGTACTTTTTTAAAAGCATGAGAGTTTTCTAAAAGATAAGATTTTCTAGGATTAAAGGAGTTTAACCCAGGTACTAGTTGGTAATTGCTTTAAGGAGAAGAGGCAGGTGGTATGGTTTGATAAGATGAAAAGTTAGAGGATTTTAGGGAGTAGAAAAGAAAAATAGGCTATTAGTGACAATGAGAAATAAAAAGGACATCTAACCAATTTCCTGACCCAATAGTAGACTAACTGGGAGAGAAAACATATACCAGAGAGCTCTGAGGTCCTAAGGGGAAAGCCAGATTTCAGTTAGAGCTAGGAAGATGAAGAAAACCTTTGGAGAATCATTTCACCATGTAAGGAAATACTTTTTCTGATGATTGACCATGATTTCTGCTAAGCACACTGAAAGGTTTCAAGAAAAAGAGAGGGTAGGGAATAGCATCACAAACAGTATTAGCTAGGTGGATAAGGAAAGTTCTTGGAGTGCTGAGTGTCTTTGGTAACTGATATGGCCGGGGATAAATGGCATAATGAAGGAAGTTGTGAGGCTCCTGTTTGATGAGTTAAGACCTGAGGAGCCCAATACCTACAGCAGTGATCATGCTGTAAGATTTGAATGAGGTGGGAACATGCAAAGAAGGGCTGGAATTCTTGGTAGACAGCTGTCTCTGACATTGTGTTGGGAGCCTTGATGAATTTTTAAAAATTCAACTAACTTTGCAATCCACAGATAAAGTATTAGTTTGTTAGGGCTGCCATAATAAAGCACTAAAACCTGAGTGCCTTAAACAACAGGAATGTATTGTCTCACAGTTCTGGGGGCTAGAAGTTCTAGATCAAAGTGACAACAGGGCCATGCTCCCTCTGAAAGTGGTAGGGAAGGATCTGTTCCAGATCTCTCTTCTGGCTTCTGGTAGTTCCTTGGCTTGTGGCATTCTCCCAGTGTGCTTGTCTGTCACATTTCTCCCTTCTATAAAGACAGCAGTCATATTAGACTAGGGGCCTACCCTACTACAGCATGACCTCACCTTAACTAATTACACCTGCAACAATCCTATTTCCAAATAAGGTCACATTCTGAGATACTGGGGGTTAGAAAATCAACATATTAATTTTAGAGGGGAAATAATTCAACCTATAATGGCTGCTTGCAACTTTGTCATTATGTTTTATTCTTTTTATAGATAACTGGCTTGGTTTATGTTTGTTTACAAATTTTACATCTTATATTCATGAATTATGTTGTTTGTAATTTTTTTTGTGTTTTCTCTTATTATTTATTACAATCAACATTATGTTAGTCTTATAAAATAAGGTTGACAGCTATTACTCTTATCATTTCTCTGACAACAGATTGTGTTAGGTTGGAATTACATTATTCTTTGAAGTTTTGATGAGATCTTCTGTTGACATCAGTGACTGGAGGTTTCTTTCTGGAAATATTTTTGACTATTCAAATTCTATTTTGCTTTATTCATTTTGAGGCTTCTCTAAACCTTACATTTTAATAAAGCAATATTTTATAGGAACTTTGTACATGTAATTGTACTGAAGATTAAAATATTTAATAACTTCATTAATAATTTTCTTTTATTTTTTTAACATCTGAAGCAGATGTAGTTTACTTTCTCTTTTTCATTTCCATCAGTTATGTTTGCTTTATCTTGTTTTATCTTCATGTCAGCAGAGGTTTGTCAAATTGATTAGCTGTTTTAAAAAAATCAGCTTCTTGCTTTATTTTTCTCTCTATTGTATTTCTTATCTGAATATCTGAATGTGTTCTGCTCATCTTTATTGTTTCTTTCCTTCTACCATCTTTTTATTGTTTTATTGCTTTTTCTAGCTTTTTAAGATGACCGCTTACATTATTAGCTTATTAATTTTCAGACTTTTTCAGGTACATGCTTCTAAAACTCTTAAATGTATTTTACTCATATCTTATTTATAATTGTTTTTAATTATGTTTCTTAAATTTTAAATACAGGAGCATTTTCTAGTTATTTTGTTATTAGTTGCTGGGTACATGGCATTACAGTCATAGTGCATATGCTCCATGTGATTTTTAGCTCTTTAAAATTTGTTGAGACTCCATTTGGGGCTTGGAATGATTTATTTTTGTAAATATTCCCAAATTCCCTAATATTTTACAGGTCTTGAGAATCATATTTTGCATATGTCTTTTAGACCAAATTTGTTAGTCATATTATTTAGGTCTTCTTTATTTTTTTTTTATTTTTTGAGACGGAGTCTTGCTCTGTCACCCAGGCTGGAGTGCAGTGGCGCTATCTCAGCTCACTACAAGCTCTGCCTCCCGGATTCACGCCATTCTCCTGCCTCAGCCTCTAGAGTAGCTGGGACTACAGGCACCCGCCACCACGCCCAGCTAACTTTTTGTATTTTTAGTAGAGATGGGGTTTCACCGTGTTAGCCAGGATAGTCTCGATCTCCTGACCTCATGATCTGCCCACCTTGGCCTCCCAAAATGCTGAGATTACAGGCATGAGCCACCGCTCTAATGTTCTATCCAATTTATTATAAAATTATTCTTGAGAAATGGTATGAATTCTTACTCTGTGATTGGGAATTTATAAATGTTTTATTGTAGTTCTGACTATTTTTGCTTTGTAAATTTGAGGCCACGATATTGGATGCATACACATTTAAATTTTAATGTCTCCCTGGTGAATTGAACTTTCTATCATCACAAAATAATTTCTGCATATCTTTTTCATGATTACTTTCACCCATTATTTTATATCCATTGTAAACAGCATATACTTGGATTTTTTCAGTCAATCTGCAAATTTTTGTTTTTGAAAGATAATTTAGTTAATTTACTTTTAACGTGATTACTAACCTAAACAGACCTATTTATTTTGTGTTTTCTACTAGTCTTATGTGCTGTAGGTTTCTACTAAATTTTTTTAATTGAATATTTTTCTCTTATTTTATTTTTTCTCCACTACTAGTTTTGATGTTGAAGAATATGCATAGATAGGTATATTCTTTATTGGTTTCACTAGAAACTACAATATACACCCTTAACTTACCAATATGCAAAGTTAACTGATACTATGACCTTTGCAGAAAATACAGCATTTCTAGAACATTTTACTCCATTTATTCCCTTAGTACTTTTATACTATTGTTCTTATTTATTTCAATTATTTGGTTTTGATTTTAATCCCTCAGGATTTTATTATTACCGTATTCTATACTCACGTTCATTTAGACTAACTGACATTTTATCATTTTTTAACTTCACTTATATCCAGCAACTTGAACATGCTTCTTACGTTTGAGAAATTCGTGATTATATGAGTTTCCCCCTCATTTACAGATATCAAATAATTGTTTTCCAGCCTCCCTCACAGCCAAGTCATGGGCATGCCTACTGAAAGCAGCTATTCTGAAATACCTCTGGCTGACTTTGAATCAGAAGCTAGTGAATGAGGGAATAAGTGGGTGCAGAAAAAAAATTCCTTTTAGGTTGGGGGTCTTCACCTACATCCATAGTTTAAGGGCACCAATAGCAGTGGCACTTGAAGAACTCCCAGATCCCAGTATTGCCCAGGCTGGTCGTGCAATATTTGCTCTATGGCTACTTTTCAAACTGGACTTTTCTGATATTTGTGTGTGTGTTTACATGCCCTTAACCATAACTTCAGTAGAGTAATGTTACTAAACCTAATTAAGGACTATTTTTTGAATTACATGTAATCATCTCGATGTTTGCATTCCAGTTATATAGTTTGCATCTTATATTATAGTGTTATTTAGTACTCATTTATGACAAATTCAGTGATAGTTACCAAAGGTTTGTTAGTACCAAAAAATACTTTAACAAATTTTAATCACTTATTTAGGGAAAGCAACTTTGGAAAGGATTTCAAAACATGAATAAAAATAAAATCTATTATATATATGTGCATTTTACTCAGAATGATTAATCTGAGTATACTTCATTGCAAGCACAACCTCCTAATGATACGTTATCTTTCAAATTAGCTACAAAACAACTGCATATGAACATGTATTTTCACAAATTCTCATGTAAATGATAAATTATAATGGAACCACATAATGTGACAACTTTAAAATATAACTATGAACAATAGAAGTTGGTATCCAGAAAGCCTAATTTACAAATAAATTATAATGCCATTCTAAGTGGAAATTGTAGCCACAATTTTAAGTTATTTCAAATATAGCTCTTGTGTTTTTTCTTTCTACCTCACAATTGAGAAGAAGAGTAGATGGAGAAATAATCTAAACCATGGTGTACACATTTGTCTTTTGTATATAAGTTGTTCATATTGTTCATTTTATGTTGATTTTGGATTCTTAAAAAATAAATGATTAATCCTTTGAGCAGATTCAAATATTTAGAAATTTTGTCATTTCTTGTAAATGAAATTATTACACACACGTTTGCATAACAGAGAAATATAAAATGAAAAAGCAAATTTATTTTGCCAAAACAAATGCATATTATTGTATATACTTAAAATAAAATAAATATGATACTGGACAAATGTTAATTTGAAACCAAGATGTATCAAAATTTGTTTTAGATATATATGAATTGTAGATATTGTACCTCTCTTCCTTTCAGAAAAAGATTTAGACCTTAAAAGTTCACAAAAATTAGCAGAATATTAAACAGAGGTGATGTTTTATTTTTTCTTCTTTTGTGCACAACAGTAACAAAAAGATGTATATTGAAAAACAGAAATAAAACTTCAGAAGCAGGGAACCATACAAGCAATATAAAAATGGCTGTTCATTACAATGTGAAGAAGAGAATTGATTAAAATGTATTTGGTGTGTAATTGTGGCAAAATTAGTATTTTAACATTGAGTCACTGATCTTTCGCTGATGTCAACAGCACGATGCTCATCCTGAGAGCCCAGTTACCTATACTCCCTGGACTTATCTAGTTAACACTTTCTTTAGTTTAGTAACCTGTCAATGGAGAACAGGTGCTGTTGGCCTATTTTTGCAATAAAAGCAAGAGTATATTGCCCTCTAGTGTTGAAAAAGTTAGGAGACCAAAAGAGTGTTCAGAAATACCCATTAAAAAAATCAAATTTTTTATTTTCTCCTTTCACATAAACGTGATATACCGATAGACAGGTTATTATTTCCTAATTCTAGAAAAAAATATCAAATATAATTAACAAATCTGTTTTATGGCCTGTTATAAAAAAAGGTGACTGGATTGAGAATAAATTATTTCATTTTATTATGTTATCTTTCTGTAATTTAATTAGATCCTTTTTCACTTTAGTTTTGGCTGAGTATTTTACAACTTTAGGAAATATTCATTCCTTATAATAAATTATCTTCTATCATTATTTTGGATTTTTAAAAAATAAAAATTAGGTGTAAATATCATTTTTTAAAAATGTTTTAAAGTCAAGAACATAACTCTGTAGAATAGGTTATTCTATTGGTAGAGGTACTTTATAGGTCCTTTATAGCTGTGTTTTGTGCCTAGTAAAAATATATATTTCCTTCTCTGAAATACAAGAGAAAGGATTGAGTAGTAAAAAATTCATTAGAAAAAGTCTTCTAAAAATAACATAAAAAATTAATGATTGAGGTAGAAATGATATATTTATCATTGTATTTAAAAATAATCAGCTGAGACTTTTAAATAATACTGCAATAATACTGCATGTTACACTTAAAGTTGGTGAAGATGGTAGATCAAATTTTGTGTGCTTACCAAAATATAAAAATAAAATTAATATAAATAAATAGATAAATTCTGTGGGGACATATACCAATATTAATATAATCCAGATTTCTCCAGACCTACATATCCTGTGACTACAAATGGGGTCTGGTTGATAATCAGTAAACTTAGAGATAATTTGGTGCAATTGGTTTTCCAATTTTCAAAACTTTAGGCTTGATTCTGAGATCATTGTTCCAATAAAAAACTATTAAAACATTATAACATTGAACGTCAATTTAACTGACTTACTCAAGATTGTTACTAATCTACTGTGTGTCTAATTTAGTATTGGGTTATGCTTGAAGGAAAATAAACTAAGTAGCTTATTGTGAAAAGAGAAGCTTTTTATATAGATTAGGCTATTGAAAATGTACCCACAGTCTTCTGGGGAAGACACATAAACCAGTTATGTAAAAATGCAAAGGTATTATAAAAAAGATAAGGACAATATATTCTTCAGAGATTTAGAGGAAGAAAGACTACCAGAGACAGGCATGAATAGGAAAGGCTTGTTATTCATAAGATTATAGAATTTTATAGTTTGAAGCAAACTTACAGTTATGAAACTCACCCATTTAAAAGATCCTACATTTTTGTGCTTTTATACAGCTAGTATATGATTCTTGAAAAAAATGAAATAATATAGAAAATACAAAACAGAGACGATCAATATTTTGTTGAGCATCCTTCCAAATCTTCCCTGATGAGTGTATACATGGAAATAGAAATATAAACCATTTTATATCCTTCATTTAGAAAATGAAGAAACTGAAGTTCAGACTCCTTCCATCCACCACCTTTCCCAACAAGTGTCTGGAGAAAAGATCATTTGAGTTGTACCTTGGGGTAGAGAAAGAAGGTGAATATATTCAAGACATAAATATGGTTATTGTTGTTTTGGCATAATTGTTTTGTGCATTAAATAGCAGGAAGTTTACAAAATGCAGAAGATTCAATTCTAAATAAATCACAGTTCCTGCCTTGGTGGAAATCCATGAATAATTACTCATTTAAAATGTCTGTGTTATAGGCTGTACTATGACAGCATTGTGGAGACAGACACACTCACTAAACTAACTTCTGTAATGCCAGGGGTGACTTTTTTGAGGTAGTTTTATCCAAGCTGAATCTTTCTAAAAATGAATAAGAACTGATTAGACTTAAAGATAAAAGAGATAACCTGGGTCATTCCAGAACTGTAAATGGTTCAACACATAAAGTGCAGGAATAACAAGATGAAACAATTTATAAGAGTAAACTCTCAAAAAGCTTGACTCTGAAGCTAAAGAGAAAAATTAGGGCAGTTGCTTGGATTGGGGGCGGGAGTGGGGGTGAGAGTGACAGAAAATGTTATGAACATGGGCATGAGCTAAACTTCTTAACAAAATGATACCTGGAGTCTCCAACTAAAATAAACACAGAACCCAGAAACTAGGAAAGGTGAGGAAGTGGTAGGGACTGAAGCCATTCAGATACCTGAAGATTATAATTACAAATGAAACATTTAGAAGGTGTTTATGGTCTACAGATGAAACATTTAGATGCTGTTTATGGTCAATTACTAACAAAGCATTATACCAGTTTTTTAAAGTCCCTAGAAGAGAGAGGCTGAAGTTCTAGAAAATAGGTGGAGGCAAAAAAAAAAAAATTAACTTTAGAAGAGATATACATTATCTATGGAATCAGGAGGCAGATAAGGACAGTGAGAATTTTTCAGTTTGGGAAACATTAGTGGGAGGGAGTCAGCTTGGCTCCCTGCATAATTTTGAGCCAGTTCAACCTTCACTTTCTGTTTTTTTTGTAAAGTAGAAGATTGTGGAGCTAGGGAGAGGGACCATGTGGCTTAGAAAGTTATTGAAATCATCAAAATAGTATAAGTTGGGGAAATAGAAATAAAATAATGATGTATATTTCAAAGATGTCTCAATCACATTTCCCCTTTTATTATAACTATCATAATCTAAGTGTAAAAATAAGATAAAAATTATATTTTAAACTGTAAAAACACATTATACAGAAAAATATAGAAAGAAATAAGAATTTGTTAATGTTCATTTTATTTTTAATATTATGGGTTTTCAAAATTTATAATACTTTCAAGTATAAAATATACATAAATTTTGTTAAGAAAAAAAGCAGTTGAGTTTCTAAAACATTTTCACATCATCCTTGCTGATAAGTTACAGAAAAAAAGTTTACTTTTGAATGAAAATGGCTAATAATATTACATCTAAACAGGAAAGCATATCATGATATTATATATGATATTATATTTCCTCAGTCATCCTTTGTAGCTTCCATATAAATTGTTTATATGGAGTGAAAAAAAATCAAGATAGGAAATCGCAACATTGTTACATAGATTAGCAGATTAATGCCAACACTTTTCACATGAACTCCATTAGCATAAGCTTAAGTCAGTAACTTTAAAACCATCCACTGTCAAGGAAAAATATAAGAAAAGAAAAAAATTCTAGAGAAGAAGGGGAAATAGGAAAGGGAAGAAACAGAGAACAGATTAAAACAAAATAATTTAGATGTTTTTGCTGGTAATAAGAGAAATACTTGAATTTGCAGATGTACCTGGCAAATAGGCTCTTGATAAATGTTAATACATATATTTGCTGAATGGATGTCAGATAAATGCCTTGGCTTCTTACATAAAAGAGAAAAATAGGAGCAAATCCATGATTGAACTGAATTTTAGATAGCCTGTCTGGTTTCAGTTTGATTATAAATGTCCCATTGTAAATATTACCTCCAAATCTATACAAAATGAGACAGAGTCACAGATTTATCCCAAAGTCATCCTAAGTAAGGTCCTGAGGAAACTTTCTGAATGTCAGAAACCCTGGGGCAGATCTAAGCATTCAAAAATTGTTTAATCCTGTTTAATTCTGGTCCACACATTCTGGGCATTTGATTATTATTTTAGTAGTATAAGGGTAAAATTCAGTGATGAAATCTTAGCTATAAATATAAATACAAAGTTCCAAGCAGTGATTACCAGACCTCTCAACTTGGCCACGGATAGCATTTCTACTACTCTATCTAAATCTTATATGGCAAAGCAGAAGAAATATCCACATAAAAGTTTCTTTATTTGCAAAATCCCCATGTTTTTCTAATAAGCAAGATGAATGCATAGAAATTTGCAGTTGCTTTTAATAAATTAGACTCTTTATTTTTAAAAAATCATGTCCTTTCTTTGCTTTAGAAAATAAGAACTAAGAAAATGGTGAATAGGCACTATACATATTTCTGCAGGAAATGGTGATAAAAGAAACCGCCTGACATTTACTCTTCTATTTACTGAGTTGACTTCATAATCTTTTGAAGTATGAATGTAGCTGATAGCTCAGAGCTATGAACCTAGTATAATATTATGTTACAATATAATATTATGGTAGTAATGTTATCATTATGTTTGAAATGACACTTTTAGGAGTTTGTACTGGTAAAAATGCACACTTTGGGGACTAAAATAAATTTATATTATGTCACTGAAATCAAGAATATATGAAGTGTATGGAAGTTAGGTGATATCAACTGGTTATTTATGGGTATAGAAAAGATCATTTCTGCAGAAAATTATAAACTGGGCATACTACCTCGATTTTGATTAAATATAACAATTACTCATTACTTTGTACCTCTATTTTGAAAAATTTATGATTTATGTAGCAGTGGTTGCTACTGAAAATAATATCATAATATTTTTTGGCCTGGAAGCTGAAAGGAATTCCATGGGACCAACCATGTGATATCAACCATTTCATAGTCTCAACTACTATTTAATCAATATTGGATATTTTCCAAAACCACTCAGAATCATAAGAGACTGCATTGATCTTTAGCTAAAACCTTTATGATATTTATAATTCTTTTAACCAGATTAAATAATTTGAATTAATTGTGCCCTACTGAGTAGTGCTCCTCAAACACTTTTGACCATGACCCAGAATAAGCAATAATCTTACATTGGTATCCAAATACACACACATGCATATACGGACACCATAACATAAAGTTTCATAAAGCACTACTTACCTCTGCTGTACATGAAGTATGACAATATTTCTATTCTGGTCTACTTCATTTTCACTTACTTGTTGGTGACCTGTAATTTGAAAAATACTGCATCTCTCTTGAAAGATGAGGTACTAAGTCATTCTCACACTCTGTGGAGAAATACCCAAGACTGGGTAATTTATAAAGAAAAGAGGTTTAATTGACTCACAGTTCCACATGGCTGGGGAGGCCTCAGGAAACTTAAAATCATGGTAGAAGGCATCTCATTACAGGGTGGCAGGAGAGAGAATGAGTGCTGAGCAAAGGGGGAAAATCACCTTATAAAACAGTCAGATTTTGTGAGAACTCACTCAGTATCATGAGAGCAGCATGGGGGTAACCACCCTCATGATTCAATTACCTTTCACCAGGTCCCTTCTATGACACGTAGGAATTATGAGAACTACAATTCGAGATGAGATTTGGGTGGGAACACAGAGCCAAACCATATTATTATGGCCCTGCCCCTCCCAAATCTCATGTCCTCACATTTTACCCTTCCAACAGTCCTCCAAAGTCTTAACTCATTCCAGCATTAACCCAAAAGTCCAAGTCCAAAGTCTCATATGAGACAAGGCAAGTCCCTTCTGTTTATGAGCCTGTATAATCAAAAGTAAGTTAAGTACTTCCTAGATACAATGGGGGTACAGGCATTGGGTAAATATACCCCTTCCAAATGGGAGACTTTGACCAAAACATAGAGGCTACAGGCCCCACGAAATTCTGAAATCCAATAGGGCAGTCATTAAGCTTAAAGTTCCAAAATTATCTCCTTTGACTCCATGTCTCACATGCAGGTCATGCTGACGCAAGAGGTGGGCTCCCATGGCCTTGGGGAGCTCCACCCCTGTAGCTTTTCAGGGTACAGCCCCCCTCACATCTGCTTTCACAGTTGGTATTCAGTGTCTGTGGCTTTTTCAAGTACATGATGCAAGATGTGGTGAATTTACCATTCTGGGGTCTAGGGGATGCTGGCCCTCTTCTCACTAAGCAGTGCCACAGTAGGGACTGTGGGGGGGGTGGCTACAACCCCACATTTCCCTTCCACACTGTCCTAGAAGAGGTTCTCCATGAAGGCTCTGCCCCTGCATCAAACTTTTGCCTGGACATCCAGACATTTCCATACATCCTCTGAATTATAGGCGGAGGTTCTCAAACTTCAATTCTTGATTTCTGTGTGCCAACAGGCCCAACACCACATGAAAGCCACCAAGGCTTGGGGCTTGCACCCTCTGAAACAACAGTCAGAGCTATATGTTGGCCCCTTTTATCCACAGCTGGAGTAGCCTGAGGCACGGGGCACCAAATCCCAAGCTGCACACAGCAGGGGGGACCCTGGACCTGGTGCATGAATCCATTTTTTCCTCCTAGGCCTCCAGGCCTGTGATGGGAGGGGCTACCATGAAGGTCTCTGACGTGCCCTGAAGATGTTTTCCCCATTGTCTTGGTGATTAACATTCTGCTCCTTGTTACTTATGCAAATTTCTGCAGCAGGCTTGAATTTCTCCCCAGAATATGGGTTTTTCTTTTCTACTGCATCATCGGGCTGCAAATTTTCCAAATTTTCATGCTTCGCTTCCTCTTGAATGCTTTGCCACTTAGAAATTTCTTCCACCAGATACCCTAAATCATCTCTCTCAAGTTCAAAGTTCCACAGCTCTCTAGGGCAGGGCCCAGTCTCTTTGCTAAAGCATAGCAAGAATCCCCTTTATTCCAGTTCCCAACAAGTTCCTCATCAACATCTGAGATCACCTCAGCCTGGACTTCATTGTTCATATTGTTATCAGCATTTTGGTCAAAGCTATTCGACAAATCTCTAGGAAGTTCCAAACTTTATCTTACTTTCCTGTCTTCTTCTGAGCCTTCCAAACTGTTCCAACCTCTGCCTGTTACCCAGTTCCAATGTTGCTTCAACATTTTCAGGGTATTTACAGCAGTGCCTCACTCTCTGAGGTACTTGCTTAGTGTATTAGTCCATTCTCACGCTTCTATGAAGAAACACCTGATACTGGGTTATTTATAAAGAAAAGAGGTTTAATTGACTCGCAGTTCCTCATGGCTGGGGAGTCCTCAGGAACCTTACAATCATGGCAGAAGGTACCTCTTCACAGGGTGACGAGAGAGAATGAGTGCTGAACAAAGGGGGGAAGCTCCTTATAAAAGCATCAGATCTCATGAGAACTCACTATCACAAGAACAGCATGGAGATAACCACCACGATGATTCAATTACCTCCCAACAGGTCCCTCCTACAACACATGGGGATTATGGGAACTGTAATTCAAGATGAGATTTGGGTGAGGACACAGCCAAACCATTTTAGATGGTTACAAATTTTGGAATTCACTCCAAAGAAGCACTGGTGCAGTTAATGTATATGAACAAATAGTTAAATGTTTATATAATAATTTTTGTGTTTTCTGGTTTTTGTGTGTTTCCAGACAGGGTATCCCTCTGTCACCCAGGCTGGAGTGCAGTGGTGCAATCATAGCTCACTGCAACCTTGAACTCTTGGGCTCAAGGTAAACTCCCTGCCTCAGCCTCCCAAGTAGCTGGAACTACAGGTTCACACCACCGCACCTGCCTAATTTGTTTTCTTTTTTCTTTTGTGTTGAGACAAGATCTTGTTTTGTTGTCCAGGCTGGTCTCAAACTCCTGGACTCAAGCAATCCTTCAGCCTCAGACTCCCAAAGTGCTGGAATTACATGTGTGAGCCACAATGCCTGGCCTAGGTAACAGCTTTAATTAAAAATTCTGTTTCATTAATATAAAATATGAGCTAATTCTTTATGATTCTTAAAAGCCAACAAAAAAACGCATGAAGCATGTAAAAACAAGGTATATAATAAAATAGTTTTCTCACAGCCATCACGAAAAGTCAAGGTCAGTGAAATTATTGCAAATTCTTAAGTCATTCCAATTTACAACACAGCTCTTTCAAATCAATTTAATTCACCTCTACAATTTTTCTCCATTTTTGGTAGACATTTTTGGCTTTGAATAGCTGAACTTTTAAAATTAAAATAAAACTTGCTGATTTGCAGTTAAATTATTTAATTATGCTGACTGCTAAGTTTTTGGCTTCACTTAACTTAATCTTTGTTTCTTCTCTACAGTGCAACTGTAGAATCCTAGTATCATAAATCATTAGTAGTTTAATCTTAGTTCCGTTCTTAAACCTTCTAAATTTTAATTTTGTCATTTTAAAAATAGATCCATAAAGAGTAAACAGGATGATGAATACAAAGAATATAGCATAGTTACTAGCAAGCAGTAGCCATTTATTAAATGCTGGTAAACGTCGTTGCTCTTGTTCTCAATTTCAGCTGAATTTTCAGGAGCCTCTTTAGTGATCTGTACAGCTCATCAGATCACCTTCAACAAAGAAACAACCACACGTATATGCAATGTGATTTAGTATCTAGCTTTCTTCTGTATTTCAGCCTTTCCAAAAGTAGCAATAACTACAGTAGTACCTGTAATTGCTTTGTTTACTAACTCACTTCTCTGCTGCTACCAGAGATTACTAGAAATTTACCATGATTATGTGGCAAATGAACTTTGCAAACTGTATTTTAGAGAATCTCTAAACACATTTTGAAAATGTCAAAAGGCAATCTTATAACAGATATATAAAACAATAGTGTTAATATCATCATATAATATTTTCTAATCTTGAAAGAGAGTCAAAGATTCTAGGAGATATTTATTCCACTACCTAGGTGATAAGCCACATTTGGAAGGATAGAAGGTAAAAATAAGAAAACAAAAATGAGAACAGGAAAATCAACACCTACAAAAGCCTCCCTTTTTTTCTTATCAAAGCCTGTGCAGGGGTCATGAAGCCCACATTTTGTGACAGGTTGTCATGAAAATAATGAGTAGATCTCTCCTTCCAAATTTTTAACGAAAGATTTATTAGAACATGGAAAGTCAGATTAAGAAGAATTGGGACCAAAGCCTGTTTAACTTACTTGGTTTGATGGTTAATAAAATAGTTTTTCCACAGATGGAATTTACTCAGTAATCCACATATTTGTCTGTTATTTCTATAATGAAAGGTCAACATCACCATATAAGGGGAAAGTGGGGAAAGGAAAGCTCTCAAATGTTTCTGTTTCTTGCTGACTTGTCCCAGGGTCTTCCTGAAGAAGAAACTAATTAAGGTAAAATAAAAATTTTGGTGTATCACCTTAGACTACTTAAAAATAAATGCCACATATTTTATACCATTATAGCAGCATTTTAATGTCTTCGTTATTATCCTGAAGTAATTTTTTTAATTTTATGTGACTCATTTAACACGTGCCTTTTGAAAATTAATCTCAATTGTCTTATTCGACTTATGGTAACGACTTAAGATTCTTATGTTGGTTGCTCTCCCTATCCATACTCCTGCATGCCTTTTCCCCCACCTTTTCAAGGGTCACACAGTAGGTAAGAGATTCAAACTAATCACAGACTACACCTTTTTGGCATCCTAAACAATGTCATAATACCATTTCTTACTTCAGGTGTGAGACATAGGTAAACACTTATGGTATATCAAGTTGTATGGTCCAGGCTTCCTCATCTCCACCGGCCAGTTTTGCTAGGGAAGGAGAACTGGGAGAATTGAATGGGAAGGATAACTCCTTTAGTTAAAACACCTACATTGAAAACACATATGTCTTCCATGGTGGTAATATGTATCTATCATTCTTCTAACTCTGAACATATTACTGTTAAATAAATTTCACATTTAAATTTTATTTATTCTTTGGGTTGGCAGATTCTTGCCCCATATGGTTTTTTTTTTAATTTATTTTTCACTATTGCATTAGGAGGAGATAGTCTAAATATGCAAAACTGACATATTCTCCTTTGTGTATTCAAAAATAAAAATCACATTTTTAATGTGAGAAGAAGTAAAGATTAAACCAAGTATTAACTTGTCCTACATTTAATTTCTCTCCGAATCTCCTGGTTAAATTTATTCCTAAAATACTAAGCAATCCTCCAAAGCATGTAAGTAGGTATCTGCTCTTATTGGGTTATTTGGGGGAGTTGTGTGGATGGGGTGGGTCTGATTTTACATTTGTTTAAATAGATTTTTAAATTAAATATGTGAGCTTGGATAAATCTAAGAATTGATATAAGATTAATAATCTCCTTCGACAAGTTCCAAATATCTTTCACTTTCATTATTACACACACACACACACACTACACACTATATATATGTATATATGTATCTTTTAATGAGTTTTTATTTAAAAAATTTACATATGAAAATTTTCAAGCATACATAAAAGTAGAGGATATAATATAATTGCTTTATATATTTCAGACCAAACCAAAGCCTTTTTATTGCTGTATTCCATTTCTTTTTAGTAAAATGCAATCCAATTTGGTTAAAGGGAGCTGAGTTTTGAAACAAAGACTTTTGCAAAGCAGACAATTACATTAAAGAATTTCATTTGGCTGGGCGTAGTCACTCATGCCTGCAATCCCAGCATTTTGGGAGGCCGAGGTGGGTGGATCACCTGAGGTCAGGAGTTTGAGACCAGCCTGGCCAACATGGTGAAACCCAGTCTCTACTAAAAATACAAAAATTAGCTGGACTTGAAGGTGTGTGCCTGTAATCCCAGCTACTAGGGAGGCTGAGGCAGGAGAATCACTTGACCTTGGGAGGTGGAGGCTGCAGTGAGCCCAGATCAGGCCACTGCACTACAGCCTGGGTGACAGAGCAAGACTCCATCTCAAAATAAATAAATAAATGAAACAAATAAAATTTGTAAATAGAGTATTAGTAATTCCCCAACATGTGGGATTCATTTGTTTTTAAAGTCCATGTGAAGTCACTGGGGAGACTGCAAACTGGTACAATATGTTTCACAGTGAAAAGCTAAGGTCCACTTATATATTTGGAATCTGAAGTGTTAAAATATTTAAAATATTTGATGAAAATTTTTAATTTTTTGAAAAAGTTTAAAAGTTATTTTCTGACAAAAACAACCATTTCAACATCATGCAGATTTTTAAAACTTAAATTACTAATGAGGTTAAGTATTGTAGAACATAGAAATATAAAATGAAAAGTAGCGACATAATTTTGCAATGTTTAACTATGTAATCTAAAAAGTTTTCAGTCATCATTAATAAGCATTCATCACTCAGATCCCCCAATTAAAAAATAAAGAAATCCATAAAATATCCACAGTGTGATAGAACATACCACTCATTAAAAAGCATGCTAGTTTAATTCTCTCTGATGTAATATGTCTGATGTAATGCATATCTTAAATATATATATCACACATTGATAACATGAACTATTTTCACCCAAAATAGTTATCCTAGGGAAAGTTTGGCAAACTGGGAAATCGAAAATTATTTAAGTACTCTAACAGTGTAGAGACAGATGAAGTAAGCTTGTATAGAAAGTAATTCATTGAAGTCAGAATCATCTATACAAAGAAAAACATCTAATAATAATGGAAAATTATGTCCATTCGTGATGAAGCAGTTTGGGATTTTTTTTTTTTTTTTTTTCTGAGACAGAGTTTTGCTCTTGTTGCCCAGACTGGCCAGGCTGGCATGCAGTTGTGTGATCTCAGCTCACTGCAACCTCTGCCTCCCAGGTTCAAGCATTTATCCTGCCTCAGCCTCTTGAGTAGCTGGGACTACAGGCATGCACCACCACACCCAGCTAATTTTTGTACTTTTTTAGTAGAGACGGGGTTTCACCATGTTGGCCAGGATGGTATCGATCTCATGACCTTGTGATCTGCCCACCTTGTCCTCCCAAAGTGCTGGGATTACAGGCCTGAGCCACCGTGCCTGTAGTAATGTAGTGTATAATGGGAAATTTTTTTTTTAATGCTGTGTTAGTTCATTCTCAAATGACTATATAGCTGCAACTGGGTAATTTATGAAGAAGAGCTTTAATTGCCTCACAGTTCTGCTTCTCCTTTAAATATCAGTTCTGACTTTAGGTCATTTCTTTGCTTATGTATCCCAGTATAGGTTGTTAGAAGCATCCAGGTCACTTTTTTTGGGCGGGGGTTGGTGGGGGCGGAAGAGAGTTTTGCTCTATTGCCCAGGCTGGAGTGCAGTGGCACAATCTCAGCTCACTGCATCTTCCGCCTCCCGGGTTCAAGCAATTCTCTGTCTCAGCCTCCTGAGTAGTTGGGATTACAGGCACCCACCACCATGCCTGCTAATTTTTTTTGTATTTTTAGTAGAGACAGGGTTTCACTATCCCTACCAGGCTGATCTTGAACTCCTGACCTCGTGATCCACCCACCACTTCTTGAATGCTTTGCTGCTTAGAAATTTCTTCCACCAGATACCCTAAATCATCACATTTAAGTTCAAGTTCCACAGATCCACAGGGCAGGGGCACAATGTAGCATAGTTGTTCGCTAAGGCATAACAAAAAATGACCTTTTCTCCAGTCCCCAATAAGTTCCTCATTTCCATCTGAGACCTCCTTAGCTTGTATTTCACTGTCCATATCACTATCAGCATTTTGGTCACTACCATTTAAAACCAGTCTCTAGGAAGTTCCAAACATATCCTCATCTTCCTGTCTTCTAAACACACACTCTCTCTTTTGCTCCTGCTTCCACCATGTGAGATACCTGGCACCCCCTTGCCTTCTACCATGATTGGAAGCTTCCTTATATCTCCCCAGAAGCAGAAGCTGCTATGCTTCCTGTACAGCCTGCAGAACCGTGAGCCAATTAATCCTTTTTTTCTTTATAAATTTTCCAGTCTCAGGTGTTTTTTTAGAGCAATACAAGAACAAAATAATACAAATGCATTCTACATTCATTTTTTTTGAACTAAAGGAAGTGATAGAGAAATAGAACATCTGATTCTTGGATAAAAATTGACAATGAGTAAGAGTTTTAATTCTTATTACAAGAGTAGGCAAAATTAGGAAATATGCTTTGAGACTAACATGTCATTGTTCTTTTCACCTAAGCGTTCTGTCCTCTGTTTCATTAGCGAGATCTGAGAATGCCTGTTCCTGCAAGAAGAAGGAGCAGTCCTATGTATCTGGGCTGTAATGCTGAAGAGGGCCAAGTGGCTCCCTGTGAGTCCAGATAAAGGATATATTATTCAAGAGAAAAACTTGTAACTACTCTAAACTTAAGACAGATTTATTTAGTCAGCTGGGAATTCCAGAGACTCAGGCAGATACCTAAGAGCATGTTTAATTGCTCTAAGCCCCTGATTCCTGATTTCCTAATTTTATATGTATATAATGGTTATCAGTTCTGTAGAATAGTTTTATGGTAACTGACATACTTTGTTAAAGCTTACTTTCTTACTTCTTTTCTTTTTTGGTGGGATTAGTTAGAAAATGATCTCAATACATGTTTCTATATACATATGGATGTTTAGGCCAAAATAAAATTGGGTTCTGTGTTCTGGAGGTTATCAAAAAATCTACTATACTCTAGGTAGTTAAGTCTAGACTGTAAACATCAGGTTGTTAATATTTTAGCATATTAACACTAAAATTATCATTGCTATATATGTTTCTTGAGCATCAGCATTTATATAGAAATAAATATTTATATTTCTATTTTTATCTTAGTTATTACATCTCTCCTCTCTTTCAGATTATGCTTAGAGGATTCTGCAGCAATTCTCAGTATTGGACATATTCAAAATCTCCTCAACGTATATCCTTCCCATCTATTGCCTTCCAGCTTTAACTCAGTTGTGCTCCCTTCAAACATTTTACATGATTTGCGATGGTTACATGAACTCTGGGGAAGTGATATTTGCAACATCTCATACTTTATTCACTATGGCACTTTAGGAAACGAAATTGGGAAAAAGCTTCCAAAACATTATTCTAAAAAATGAATCTTATTGTGAAACTTCGGAGAAGTTTTCGAACATTGATTGTTCTCTTAGCTACCTTTTGCTTGGTGAGCATTGTCATTTCTGCCTATTTTCTCTACTCTGGCTACAAACAGGAAATGACACTTATTGAAACCACTGCAGAAGCAGAATGCACTGACATCAAAATTCTACCATATAGGTCAATGGAGCTGAAAACAGTTAAACCTATTGACACATCCAAAACGGACCCTACTGTCCTTCTCTTCGTGGAGAGCCAATACTCTCAACTCGGTCAAGATATCATAGCTATTTTGGAGTCCAGCCGATTTCAGTACCACATGGTTATTGCCCCTGGAAAGGGAGATATACCTCCTCTTACAGATAATGGCAAAGGGAAATATACTTTAGTTATTTATGAAAATATTCTGAAGTATGTCAGCATGGACTCATGGAATCGAGAGCTTTTAGAAAAATACTGTGTGGAATACAGTGTTAGTATAATCGGTTTTCATAAAGCCAATGAGAACAGCTTACCAAGTACACAATTAAAAGGCTTTCCGTTAAACCTTTTCAATAATCTAGCTCTAAAGGACTGTTTTGTTAACCCTCAATCTCCTTTGCTGCATATTACCAAAGCCCCCAAGGTTGAGAAAGGCCCTCTTCCTGGGGAAGACTGGACTATTTTCCAATATAATCATTCAACCTACCAGCCTGTACTTTTAACTGAGTTACAGACAGAAAAATCCCTGTCATCCTTGTCTAGCAAAACACTCTTTGCAACGGTGATTCAGGATCTGGGGCTTCATGATGGAATTCAGAGAGTACTTTTTGGCAACAACTTGAACTTTTGGCTGCACAAGCTCATCTTCATAGATGCCATCTCCTTCTTGTCAGGGAAGAGGCTGACATTGTCCTTGGACAGGTACATCCTTGTGGACATTGATGATATATTTGTTGGGAAAGAGGGAACAAGGATGAATGTCAAAGATGTGAAGGTAAGCTTATTTATAGACAACATCGAAATTTGTATTTCACAATATGGTACCGATAAAATATTACTAATATGATAGATTATTAATCCCTAAAGTTTTAAGGTGCAGTAGAGTTGAAATAAGATAGCCATTTAGAAAAATATTGAACCAAGACTTAACCATTCTTTACACACACATACACACACCAGAAGCTTCAGAATGGGACAGAGCTAAAATATTAAAATATCCCAAAGAGTTAGTGAACTTAATCTCTTTGCCTTTTTTTTTTTTTTTTTTTCTGAACAGACTCTTGCTCTGTCGCCCAGGCTGGAGTGCAGTGGCATGATCTTGGCTCACTGAAACCTCTACCTCCTGGGTTTAAGCAATTCTCTGCCTCAGCCTCCCGAGTAGCTGGGATTACAGGTGCCTGCCACCACGTCTGGCTAATTTTTGTATTTTAAGTAGAGATGGGGTTTCACCATCTTGGCCAGGCTGGTCTTAAACTCCTGACCTCGTGATCCACCCGCCTTGACCTTCCAAAGTGCTGGGATTACAGGCGTGAGCCACTGCACCCGGCCTCCTTGCCTCTTCTTAAGTCTTTCCCATCCCAGCTAGAACCATTTAGAACAACCTCCCTTATTATAGTACATGCTGCAGTTTGTAACAGTGAAACCAAGATAGTCATATAACTCTATTTCTGGATTATTACCCTGCCAAATCCTGCCAAACTCGGGTTTGAAAATTGTGGTGTAAATAGAAAATGGAGAAACAGCACAAGACCTTTCTATAATCTCAAACAAGCATAATATTTGCTCATATGAAATGTTCAGATATCTGAAAATATAGATATTAGCAAAAACAAATCATTTTATAGGGAATGTGGTATTGGATTAGCCTCAGGTAGCTTTCATTATTATACCTATTATTTATTCATTGCATTATTTGGGAAAACACAGCAGTGTTACTGGTAGCACTTCTAGGTTTTGATCAATTGACTGAATAACAGATTCAGCCTGTGATTGCTACTAAATAAAAATAAAGCCAATATGTTACACTAGATTAGGTGCACAATTCTAAAGATAATCATCTTTTAAACAATCTTGATGCAGTACTCTCACCTGATCTTTTACTTGTGACTGTCTCATCCTATGTATAACTAAATTTATTTTGTGTGCAAATAATTTTAGCAAACACATAAAAAATTAGAGGACACAACTAAGAATAATAAAGGAATCAAAGAGTGTTAAGATGTTATCGACGTTTTTGGATCTTCTGTTAAAGTGTTTATCTTCCAAAGATAAAATTTGGATACTTCTTCAAAATAACAGGGTATTTTTTTCATCCTAAGACCTGATGGCCACTGTAAAGCAAAATGATTGAAAGCAGTAGAATAAGTTCACTTTTTAAAAACCTTCAAAGTATATGTGAACCAATGAACTCTGTTTTTAATAAGTTCCTATGAAGCACTGCTTGACTGTGACCCAAATATTTCATTTTGTGACTGTTAAGAAGAGATAAAGTGACCGCAATTGAGTTCTATCCAGATTTTTCTCATTTTTTCTTTTACTTTTTTAGTATGTATTATTTCCTTTAATTAGTATAAATGACAGTTTTCTTTTTATTTTTGAAATCATAGGCTTAACAAGAGGACAGTTACTTCAAAAGGTTCTTTGAGTGGTTGGTTCCTATCTTCACATGCTAAAAATATAGCATTTCCTAGTTTCAGGCTAAAGATCAATATGAGTTAAAAAGTTCTTTATATGTCTAAATGAACTTAACCAGCTCAAATTCAACTATTTCACTTTTTCTCAATAGAAAAACAAATTGTCACTCACTGCTACTCAAAATAATATTCAAAAGTCACTGATGGCTATCTTAAGTGACATAACTCCAAATAGAATACAATAATTTAACAAAGGCTTGAGCAATGTCACACATGGAGAGAGAATCAGAAAGGCTATGTGTGTGTGTATGTATTTATTAGTATGTGTTCATATGGATAGAATTATATCCTATATATTGAGTAATATATAATATTTATTTATGTACACATATTAATTGAACTGTGCTTTTGAAGAAAATACTCTTTACTGCCTCTTTTGTTGTTATTTCTGGTTCTCCCTCAGAATTATTTTTATTTTTAATTTTTAATTGACAAAAACAGTATATAGTTTTCATGTACAACATAATGTTTTGAAATATGTGTAAATAATGAAATGTTTAGATACAGAAAAATGACATAGGAATTAATTATCCCAGATACTTATCATTTTTTGGTGAAAACACTTAAAATCTACTCTTTTAGTAATTTTCAAGAATATGATATATTGTTACTATTAGAATCTACTATAGGTTTCTTCAACTTCTTCTTCCAATCAAAATGAAATTTTGTGTACTTTAACCGAATCTCTCCAACCTCTTCACTCTCAACCTCTGGGAACTACCATTTTACTCTCTGCTTCTTTGAGTTTAAATTTTTTAGACTCCATAAAAAGTGAGATTATGTATTTATCTTGCTGTGCCTTGCTTATTTCACTTAACATAATGTCCTCTAGTTCATCCATGTTGTCACAAATTACAGAATTTTCTTCTTTGTAATGTCTGAATGATATTTCATTGTGTATATGTACCCCATTTTCTTTATCCGTTTATCCACTGATAAGATGCTTAGGCTGATTCTATATCTTGGCTATTGTAAATAATGCTTAAATGAACAAGGAAGTGCAGATATTGATTTGGTAAGTTGAATTCATTTCCTTTGATATATACCCAATAGTAGGATTGCTAGATCATATGGTAGTTCCATTTTTAATTTTTTGAAGAATCTCCATATTGTTTTCCATAGTGGCTATACTGTTTACATTTCCACCCATGTACATGAGGGTTCCCCCTTCTCCACATCCCTGCCAACACTTATTATCTTTTGTCCTTTTGATAACAGCCATTCTAATAGGTATGATGTGATATCTCATTATGGTTTTGACACGCATTTCCCTGATAG
The DNA here is from genome assembly GCF_000001405.40 of Homo sapiens. NCBI lineage: Eukaryota > Metazoa > Chordata > Mammalia > Primates > Hominidae > Homo > Homo sapiens. The sequence goes on along the minus strand of NC_000004.12, from coordinate 115,073,081 downwards.
TTAGCGATGTTATTTTTATAAACCTATTGGTCATTTATGTTTTCTTTTGAGAAATGTTTATTCAGGCCTTTTGCTCATTTTTAAGATGAGTTATTTGTTTTCTTACTATGAGATACTTGAGTTTGATATATACTTTAGTATTACCTCTTACCAGATGTATAGTTTGCCAATTTTTCTCCCATTTCATATGTTGTCTCTTCACTCTGTTGCTTCCATTGCTGTATAAAAGTTTTTTGCTTGATGTAATTCCATTTGGTTTTTTTACTTTTGTTGCTTGTGTTTTTGGGTCATATCTAAAAATCTTGCCCAGACCAACATCATAGAAGTTCCCTCTATGTTTTCTTTTAGTCATTTTATGGGCTTAGATCCTACAATTAAGTCTTTCATCTATTTTAAGTTGTTTTTTTATATAGTGTGAGATGAGGCTCTAATTTCATGCTTCTGCCTATAGATATCTAGTTTTCCTAACACTATTTATTGAAGAGACTGCCCTTTCCCCATTGTCCGTTCTTAGAAACTTCGCTGAAAATCTATTGCCTGTAAATGCAAGAATTTATTTCTGTGTTCACTATTTTATTCCATTGGTCTGTGTGTCTGTTTTTATGCTAGTATCATGCTGTTGTGATTACTATAGCTTTGTAATATATCTTGCTTTGTTTTGTTTTCCTCAAGATTGCTTTGGTTATTTGGGATCTTTTGTAGTTTCATATACATTTTAATATCTTTTAAAAATTTTTTTCTATTTTTGTGAAAAATGTCCTTGGAATTTTGTTAGGAATTGTATTGAATCTGCAGATCATTTTGGATATCATAGACATTCAACAATATTAATTTTTCTACTTCATCAGTGGGGATAAGCTTTCCATTTATTGGTGCCTTCTTCAAGTCCTTCAAGATTATTTTGTATGCTTTTCTCTTGCTGCTTTCAAGATCCTGTGTCTTTGATTGTTGACTCTTTGACTATAACATGTCTTAGTGTAGTCTTGTTTGGCCTTCCTCTGCCTGAATATTTGTATTTTTCCTTAGATTTGAGCAGTTTTATTCCATTATTTTATTAAATAAGCTTTATGGCTTTTTATCTCTGTGTTTTTCTTGAACTTCTATAATTTGAATATTTCCCTCAGACCTATTAATGAATAAATATGAGAAATTTGAATGGAATTGAGAATTGAGAACTATTTATCTACTATGTTACTTATATGTCCATAGAAAAAATATTCTAGTCACAGTTTTTGCTTTTTGACTTTATTTTTTGGACAAATATAATTTTGTGGGAAATAATTTCAATTATGTGCCAAAAAGTTTTGACAGTCTCATATTCTTCATTCTCATTTTTTTTTTCTGGTAGTACAACATTAACACACTAGTGCACAAGGAGAATTTCATCCTCCTTCAAACTCTACCCCAATTCTAGAACAATGGTGTTGCATAGCTACCGACAATTTTCTATATTACTCTGAAATAGTATAAAAGAGGTGTTCAATAGGTATTTTAATAGGTATTTCATATATATTTCAATTCATATGAAATACCTATTTGAATTTGAAATTCAAATGTCATCCCTATTTCAAGGTATGAAAGAGGTATTCTGTTCCTCAATAAAACAAATTAAGGAAAGCAAGAGTGTTAGGGATAAAAAATCTTGGTTATGTTTGTAACTGGACTCTTCCTTGGCCACTTCCACAATTAGACTGGAATAGCAAGAGCATTAACAACAAATTCAGACATAGCCTTATCCTCAGTACCACCTCCCTCTATCAATGTGTGTGTGTGTGTGTGTGTGTGTGTGTGTGTGTGTGTGTGTGAAGGCATACTTTCATTTGAACCAAATTTTCTATTTTGAGGTAGAGATTCTGAATCATACTGTTAAAGAGTAAATACTTTTAAGGCAAAGAATATTAATGTATTGAAAAGAATACGAGTTTATTTTTATTTTTTATTTTTTTATTTTATTTTCATTATTAGTATTTTTTGAAATGGAGTCTTGCTCTATTTATTGCCCAGGCTGGAGTATAGTGGCACAAACTCAGCTCATTACAACCTCCACCTCCTGGGTTCAAGCAATTCTCCTGCCTCAGCCTCCCGAGTAGCTGGGACTACAGGTGCACACCACCACGCCTGGCTAATTTTTGTATTTTTAGTAGAGACAAGGTTTCACCATGTTGGCCACGCTGGCATCAAACTTCTGACTTCAAGTGATTCACCCACCTCGGTCTCCCAAGTTGCTGGGATTACAGGCATGAGCCACCGTGCCCGGCCAGAATACGAGTTTTTTGACTGAAGTTAAATGCTCATTATTTCTAATACTTAGATATAATTGGCCTAAGCTATCTACAATATATCTTTTTTTTGGAGAATTATTCATGCCTTATCTCATTTTATCATTCTCTTCTCCAACCAATGCTACTGAGATAAAAATCAATGTCCTTTTGTAAGGCAATCAAAATTAAATTCAGTTTCAATAACTTTCATTTGTTTATTAATAAAATTTAACTGTATACCTAAAAACTCAAGATATATAAGAAAGATTATTCATGTATATAAGCTCCTAGAAACTAATTATGTTTTTAAAGATGGTGAAATATTATCTATCAATTAGGTCAGAGATATGGTCATGTTTTGACCTGTTAATATTCCTGTGGCCCTTAATGCCATCACCCTCCTCCCACCCTCCACCCTCCAGTATCTGTCATTCCCTTCTATGTGTCCATGTGTTCTCATCTTTTAGCTCCCACTTATAAGTGAGAACATTTGTTTTTTGCTTTTCTGTTTCCATATTAGTTTGCTAAGGATAATGGCCTCCAGCTACATCCATGTTCCTGCAGAGGATATGATCTCATTCTTGTTATAGTATTCCATGGTGTATATGTACTATATTTTCTATATCCATCCTACCATTAATAGACATTTAGATCAATTGCATATCTTTGCTATTTTGAAGAGTGCTGCAATGATTGTATGCATGTATGTGTCTTTGTAATAAAATGATGTATATTCCTTTGGGTATATATACAGTTATGGGATTGCTGGGTCGAATGGTAGTTCTGTTTTTAGGTGTTTGAGGGATTGCCACACTGTCTTCCCCAGTGGTTGGACTAATTTACATTCCAACCAATAGTATATAAGCATTCCTTTTTCTCCACAACCTCTTCTGCAACTGTTATTTTTTAACTTTTATTTTTATTTATTTACTTATTTAGAGAAAGAGTCTCATTCTGTCACCCAGGTGGGGGTGCAGTGGCAAGATCTCAACTCACTGCAACCTCCACCTCCCAGGTTCAAGCAATTCTCTTGCCACAGCTTCCTGAGTAGCTGGGAATACAGACGTGTGCCACCACACCCAGCTTTAGTAGAGATGGGGTTTCACCATGTTGGCTGGGCTGGTCTTGAACTCCTGACTTCAAGTGATCTGCCCTCCTCAGCCTCCCAAAGTACTGGGATTACAGGCATGAAGCCATCCTGACTAGTGTGAGATGATATCTCATTGTGGTTTTGATTTGCATTTCTCTAATGATCAGTGATGTTCAGTTTTTTCCATATGCTTGTTGGCCGCATGTATGTATACTTTTGAAAAGTGTCTGTTCATGTCATCTGCCCATTTTTTAATGGGTTGTTTGTTTTTTTCTTGTAAATTTGCTTAAGTTCCTTATAGATACTGGATATTAGACCTTTGTCAGATAAATAGTTTGCAAAAGTTTCTTCCCATTCTGTAGGTTGTCTGTTTACTCTGATAAAACCAAATTTCTTATTTCAATGTTCTTTGTGAGCCAGCTCAAGTTTGCATTTCAATATCTATCCTTCCCAATTCTCAATATGCACTGTTTTTTGTTAGACTTGCCCACTATATAGTTTTCAACTATGACTATCTCATGTCTACCATGACCTATTTTTCTTAGCTTCTATGCCTTTACTAAAATACTTTTCCTGAATCTACCCACATTTTAAGTTCTACTTTTTATAAGAATATGACACATCCCCTAATGACTCCAGCAGATGGTTATTTCTTTTTAACTTGAGTCCCTGCATAATCACTGACCTTAATTCTCAGTTAGCATCTTTATGTATATAAGTCAACTCCAAAATTAAGAGGTGACAGTTTTTCTCATACATCTAGTTTTGCCTCAAGGAATGTATTACACAACCTTACAAATGATTAAAAAATATTTAATTGACAATTATTATATTGTCTTTTAACTGGTGAGGGCAGAATCAATTAGTAACATAACTGATTTACTTTCTTTTTCTTTTCTTTTTTTTTTTTTTTTTGAGATGGAGCCTCGCTCTGATGCCCAAGCTGGAGTGCAGTGGTGCAATCTGGGCTCACTGCAAGCTCCACCTCCGGGTTCGTGCTATTCTTCTGCCTCAGCCTCCTGAGTAGCTGGGAATGCAGGCACTCACCACCACACCCGGCTAATTTTTTTGTATTTTTTTTTTTTTTTTGGAGATGGGGTTTCACCGTGTTAGCCAGGATGGTCTCGATCTCCTGATCTCATGATCTGCCCTCCTCAGCCTCCCAAAGTGCTGGGTTTACAGGCATGAGCCACCGCACCCAGCCAGAACTGATTTACTTTGTAAAGAAAGAATAATTTGAGGATAGTTTTGAACTTCATCTTGAAGCAAGTGATTTGTGTATTTTGCATATAAGACAAAAGTAGAAAACAAAATCTGTATTATAAACTTGGAGTCCAAAGCTAGCAGGCTATTTGGTTTGATTTTCCTTCCTACGTAGTGTTTTCAATGGATATGAACCTAGGCTGGTATTAAGGCTTGATCTAGATACAAGTAATTTACTGATGTCTTAACATGAACGTTTTCATGCCTTTATTTTACTATGTATTTTATGAGTTGAAAACCATAGGCTCAAAACTATAAAGTGAAAAAGTAATATATTGTACAAATTTGATGATGAAAACAAAGATGATAAGTTAACAGATATTTAAAAAAAACAGTTAATAGAGGGTCTTGAAAACACAGGGAAATAAGTTTCAGTTAGTTCCAACAGCCATTTGAAATCTTCTCTTTGTAGGGACATGGATGAAGCTGGAAACCATCATTCTCAGCAAACTATCACAAGGACAAAAAACCAAACACCGTGTGTTCTCACTCATAGGTGGGAATTGAGCAATGAGAACACTTGGACACAGGAAGGGGAACATCACACACTGGGGCCTGTCGTGGGGTGGGGGGAGGGAGGAGGGATAGCATTAGGAGATATACCTAATATAAATGATGAGTTAATGGGTGCAGCACACCAACATGGCACATGTATACATATGTGACAAACCTGCACGTTGTGCACATGTACCCTAGAACTTAAAGTATAATAATAAAAAAAGAAAAACAAAAAAAAAAGAAAATGATAAGGTTACTATATTTAAGAAGGACTCTTCCATTAGTAATGTAAATATCTGAAAAAAATTCCAGTCAAAATATGTTTAAGAATTATCATATCATTAAACAGGAGACAGGTTGTTATGAACAGAAAAGAAGAAACCTATTATAAAATAAAATCTTAAAATTTGATTCCTAATTTGAATAAGGGTTGAATGAGAAAGAAAAAAAAAACCTCAATATTACTAAGTTTGTGTCTTTAGAAAATAAGACATTATTTATCCTATGAACGTTAGTACAGAAGATGAGAGGCTACACTGGTAAATGAAACTATTACTTTTCTATATTTTATGATAATAAATAAGTTTGTTGTATTTGGTAAACTAGTAGAAAAATCTGTTTTTAGAATATTTCATACCTCAGACTCAATGAGGTATGAATCATTTTCAGAGTTAGAGATAAACACAAAGTCTGGTTTGTGGTAAATGGAATCCAGATTTGATGCATATCAGCTAGTATAGATTTAGTAATGCAAAGGAGTCCAGGCAGCAAGAATTGGGTGGATGGCCCAGCCAGTCAAGCAAGCAGTATGTGAAAGTTGCTGGCAGTTTCTAGGTGGGTGACCCAGCATGCAATTGGCAAGTGTAGCATAAGACCTGGGCAATGGCCCGGGCTTGCGGGAATGAGCATTTATCCAAGATATTCGACAGTGGAGAGAGGGTACCAAATCTCTGGATTCAGTTCTATGGGTAGCAGTCATCTTGAGAAAAATGGCATAGACAGCAGTGGCTTACTCCTGGAGGAAATGTGGGATTGGATAATTACATCACAATGTGGAGTTTGACATAGGGCACACAACAGAGAATGTGGTAGTTAGGAGCTCAGTCACAGCAAGCCTGTGCAGGAGAGAGGAGCCATCAGCAATACTTCCCTGAAATGATGGTCTTGATACCCTGTTATAGAACTCCCTAGATCTCCCTTGTCAGGGAGGGATTACATTTAGAACATCATGAAATCTTTAGGTGCCCAGCTGTGAGAATTCAATGTACTATTTGAAAGTCCTCAGTTGATCAAGGAGAAAAACAGGCAGTATCAAAGGCTTATAATAAGAATGGTTTATATTCCATGTAAACAAAGAGTATCACTGTGTCAATTAAATTGTTTTAGTAAGTAGAATTTTGCTTGTTTGAAAAGAGAAGCTCTATTTTCATGTATTTTGGCAGTCAGCAGTGACCTCAGAGAACCTCAAACTTACTTGCAAGAGGACAGTTACTGTACAGGATACAGTTAATCATAATTTTTCTTTTATTGAAAATATCATTGTAAGTAATCTAGGTTTTCATTTCTTCTGAATTATTTCAAGTAGCACCACACATTTAACTTTATCAATGGAAGGAAAAGTCATCTGTTTTAAAGAGATTCCTTTATGGAAGCAAATAGGGTTATTCTCCACTTAAAAAATTGCCAAAATTGTATAAAAGTACATTTTAAAATAAGAATTAAAAAGTTGAGAAAATACATACCAGTAATACCTTTTCCTTTGTGAATCTGTCTTTATTATAGAGTTCATACAAATATGTAAAGTATTCAGTTCCTGATTTCAGTAGTAGAGACAGGACATATTCACAGTTATCTGCATTACAAGGCAGAATGCAATATATATCATGCCAACATGATTGTACACAATGGGGACCAAGACAGGGTGACAGTAATTATTCCTCTAGGAACCAGGAGTGTTTAATGGAGGATGCGGTATTTGAGTCTTCTGCGATCACTGGACAGAACTGTAGCAAAGCTAGCTGGGCAGTGTATTCTAGGGCAGTGGATCAGCCTAAGCTCAGACTTGGCTGAAAATATCAGGACATTTTTGAGAATGGTAAGTTGCCTGTGTTAATTGAATTACAAGGTAAATGAGAAATAGTGGGACTAAATGTGGGTGCTGTTTGTGGCCAGAATATAAATCCCCTATTCTGTTATAGAACGTTTGCCTTTATTCTGTTGAAAATAGGATACCACTGGAGTCACTCAGGATTTTTAAGCCAGAAAGTGGCATAATCAGAGTTGGAATTGAAGGAAAATATATTGTTTGAACCAGGGAGTTGTTTTGAGGAGACCAACTAAATAATGTTACAATAATACAATCATACTAATGATTGTATCTTAAAATAAGGTATTCATTGAGCATATTAATATATGCTAAAATGTGCTAATCATTTACAAGCCCAAACAATATTAACTATATCCACTTTGAATGAATAAAATGAGGCTTAGCGATACTAAGATAGTTGTCTAATATATGGCTAATAAGTGACAGAACAAGGAACAAACCCAGAACTATCTATCTTGAATGTTTAAACTCTCTTTTAAACGACAAGGGCTTGGCTTGAGTTTGAATCTTAACTTCTGCACCTACTAGTTTACCTTAACCTAATCTCTTCAACCCTCATACCATATATCTGTAACACCAATGTAAAGAAACCCAATTCAGAATATTTTGGTGAGCATTAAAGAGATAAGGAGTGGAAAGTAGCTAAGACAGAGTTTGGCCGGTAAGATAGACTCAGCCCATCTTGGTGGTAAACAGGATAGAAAGGGAAAATCAGGAAAGTCCTCGCAGAAGTAGAATTGACAGAATTTGAATATGTACTCAATGGAGGAGCAAAAAGAAAGCTGGAAATACAATGTCATCACTATTGTTTTCAGCCTGGATGTGTTCATTAAAATGTATAGAATCAGACAGAGGTAAAGATGCTGGAAGGATGAGGAGTTTGATTTATGGTCTCATAATTTTAATGGGTTAAGGTCTAATGATTTAACATGGGCATCCATATTTGTCTTCTGAAACAATAAATGTAGATTTTCTGGCCCCATTGGGTTGGCAGTGTACATTTAGAAATCATCATGCTTAACACTTGCAATTTTAATGGTAATCACTAAATAGAAATATATCAAAGAAGAAGAAAAACAGATTGAATAAAGTATTTGCAATATTCGGTGATAAACCAATAACAAGTTAGTTTCACATAGAGGAAAAATGTCTCATGCACTGAGATAGTAGCCTCTTGTATGCCTTTCATTGGTTATAAGGAAGAAAGCATGAAAGCTCAGTAGGTACAATAAGTCCTCAAAGAAAGAAAATTAAAGGAATGCCTGACTCAAAAGAGAACAGTGTTTATGAAACAAGGAAATTACAATATTTATCTGGAATTTGGAATTTGGAACTCCTTTTTCTCCTTCCTATTTATGACTCCTTGATGAATAAGAATTTCAACATGAGTGCCTCCTACCATCACTGTGAGATGTACCAACTGATACTGTGTCACAAATATTCCTAAACTTAGGGTGTTGTATAGGGGTTAAGTGTCAAGACAACAAGGAAATTAAATCTTTACTTTTAGTTGTTCTGCCTAGAAATTATGATCGATTGAAACAATTTTATTTAGTTTTATGTGTTTATTTTCTTGAGGACGGAGTTGCAAAGATGTCTATTTTTTGTTAGAAACAAGTGGTTTATAGGCATGCTTTCATTCATATTTGTTTCCTGTGTGGCAACCAGCTATTAATTTTTAAAAATATACTTTTCAAAACAAGGCCTCTGACAATGTGAAGATTTTCTGCTCAGAATATTTTTACTGTTTTTAATGCAAATTAAATTTTAATTTAAAAATTGGACATTGCCTAAATTTATTAATACTCAAAACAAGCTACATAGTAATGGATCTAATACTAACGTTAAGTGCTGACTTTGGTTACTTTACAGTATTAGATAATTACGGAGCTGAGAGCAATTTCTTGAAACACCAGGGAAGAAGACAATTAATGTCCATGAGTTCCATTTCACTAGTCAAGTTGTAGCAATTGTCTATGTGAGGAAAAGAAAGTATTAAGAAGTATTTTGGTAAAAAAAAAAAGTATTAAGAAGTATTTGGTAAGAAGCTAGCAAAGTCTGAGCAAGGTAAAAAAGCAATCTTTTATAAGAGTCCTTAAATCTTGTGGTTAATGCTTTAAAAGCCCTGGGGGAAGTCCACTGGGATATTTTCTGGTTGGTTTTCTATGCTTTGTCATTCTCTGTGGCGAGATAAATTGTAATTAATTTGACAATTAATTGGCTCAGATTATAATGAGCCTCCTCAGCTAAAGCCACTGTGTTCCTATTATGATAGCCAGCAAAAGATACCACAAAAAGGTTTCATATCTAAAGAATGACTAAAGAGAAAAAGAAATAAAACAAAAATTTGCTATTTTCATGCTCCTTATAGAAATACACATGGTGCCCTGAAATAAATTAAATTATCATGGAAAATAGCAACTAGTTTACAAAACCCTGAGCAAGCTAGAATATATTTTCATTATAATTTAGAAAATAGTTTAAGCTGTTAAAGTAGTCATAGACATTGTCTTTTATTTTTATTCAACTCATCATTATTCATGTGTACTCTGAGCCTAGCTCTAGAGCATTGCTGGGATTGATGATTTCTACCCATCACTTTTTCTCCCCCAAATAAATCAAATAGTCTTCTGATGTCTTTTCTTTATTTTTATAATTTTGAAGCATTTCCTACATTCTAAAGAGTTTGTATAACAATTTCTATAACTTAAAAGATAATAATAAGAACAGTTTGGCACAAACCATTTAGTTTAGAACAGAGAATAATACCACCACCTTTCCAATCACGTCACTTTTTTGCTACCACTGGAGAGGCAACACATATCCTGAATTTCAAGTGTATCATATTCTTAGCTTTCTTGTTACTTGTATCACATAAGAAAGCAACCCTAAACAATAAATTGCTTAGTATCTAGATGTTTTAAATTTGAATTTATATAAATATGTTCCTACCATACACATTTTCTTCAAATTGCTTTTTCTCTTACTTTTACTCGTATGGCTCACCCACATTGATACCTATAGCCCTAGTTTACTAAACTAATTTTCTTTGTAGTACTTACTATCTCCAATGTTGGTATTGTCAAACATTAAAATTTTTATATTTTCCTGATTATGTGGATGATTAGCTATTCTTGTATTTAATGACTATTTCTTTTTTATGTAGTTTGCATACTCTGTATGCCTTTTTCTTGTTTTAATTTAGAATTATTTTATATTTTATATTAATTTTTTAAAGTTCTTTAGATAGTCTGCATGTTAATGCCTGATATGCTTGCAGATATCTTCTCCTAATAGTATATTTCATGTCTTTTTATATCTTTTAATGATGATATTTGATTCATACAACAACTTAATTTTATTGTAGTTAAATATATCAATATGATCATGCATCGCTTGTGGGCATTTTTTCGTGTGTATATTTTGTCACCTCTAGAAGTTTGTATACTGGCCTTATTTATTATTTAAAGATCTTCTAAAATGATCTGAGCCTAAAAATTTAATTTTGAAATGTGTTAAAATTACTTTGTTTGCTTACGGTATATTCTTTGTTGTTTTGCTTATGGTATATTCTTTCTCTTACAATCTTTATGAGTTATTTGCAGTTTATATTTTCAAAAAGTATTTCAATTGCCTTGCTTAAAAATTCTAGTTTTGAGTTGTTCATAACAGATCGTTATGATACTTTAAAACTCTCTACCCATTGACTATGTCACATTTTCTTTTTGAGTGTTGTTCATTTTTGTTTTCTCTCCTGATTGTTCTATTTGACAGAAATTGGCTCACTTCATTTTCCCTTTTCTTAATCCTCACTATTTTGCCTTCCTTTTCTGTTTCAATGTTTGCTTTTTCCTTTGTGCGTTCATTCCTTCTATAATTTTTATTTTATTCTGGTATTCTTTCCATGTCTTCCTAAAATATATGATTAACTAATGAAGTGTCACTTTTTTCCTCTCATATAAGCATTTAATATCATTTATTTAAAGATTACAATTTCAACTAAGTGTGCCATGCTTTTTTAAAGTAGTTTAGCTATTAGCCTGCAATTTTGAACACTGTCTACTTTTTTTAAAATTATACTTTAAGTTCTGGGATACATGTGCAGAATGTACAGGTTTGTTACACAGCTATACATGTGCCATGGTGGTTTGCTGCACCCATCAACCTGTCATCTAGGTTTTAAGCCCCGCATGCGTTAGGTATTTGTCCTAATGCTCTCCCTCCCCTTGCCCCTCACCCCCGACAGACCCCAATGTGTGATGTTCCCCTCCCTGTGTCAATGTGTTTTCATTATTCAACTCCCACTTATGAGTGAGAACATGTGGTGTTCGGTTTTCTGTTCCTGTTTTAGTTTGCTGAGAATGATGGTTTCCAGCTTCATTCATTTTCCTGCAAAGGACATGAACTCATTCTTTTTTATGGCTGCATAGTATTCCATGGTGTATATGTGCCACATTTTCTTTATCCAGCCTATCACTGATGGGCATTAGGGTTGGTTCCAAGTCTTTGCTATTGTAAATAGTGCTGCAGTGAACATATGTATGCATGTGTCTTTACAGTAGATTGATTTTTAATTCTTTGGGTATATACCCAGTAATGGGATTGCTGAGTCAAATGGTATTTCTGGTTCTAGATCCTTGAAAAATCAGCTCACTCTCTTCCACAATGGTTGAACTAATTTACACTCCCACCAACAGTGTAAAAGCATTCCTATTTCGCCATTCTAACTGGCATGAGAGGATATCTCATTGTGGTTTTGATTTGCATTTCTCTAATGACCAGTGATGATGAGCTTTTTTTCATATGTTTGTTGGCTGCATAAATGTCTTCTTTTGAGAAGTATTTGTTCATATCCATCACCCACTTTTTGTTGAGGTTTTTTGTTTTTTCTTGTAAATTTGTTTAAGTCCTTTATAGATTCCAATATCTTATTTCAACGTACCCAAATATAAATTATTCTAAACTACTAATTGAAAGAAGAAAATTAGCTCATTTCCTTTCTGTAATGTCATTTGTGTAATTTAAACAATTATTTTAATAATTTAAATATTTATAAATGCCATGTTGGGACTACACTGAACAAAGTAACTTTGTGTATCTCTCTGTGTGTGTGTATTTTTGTGTGTGTAAATGTTCATTTGAAATACTGCTGCTAGAAAAAAAGGTATCATTATTACATAAACTCCCAAATTTATACAGTCTTCCCAAATAATATTTAACATATACCTAAGGTGGACCATCACAATTAGTTCCCTATTACTCCTTGCATTCATGACATAAATTTTAAAGTATAATTTATTTTAAATATTGAAACTCTATCCTACTTGAATATTTAATGCAAATTTTAGTTCAGGTTTGTACAGCTATTTTAAATTTTAATTTTGATTATAAGTCTCTCACAGATTATCAGTAATAGTTTACTTAATTTCAGTTAGAGTTTTTATGATGCTTAAAGACTACTACATTGACCTCTCAAAATGAAAATGCATTTTTCATTTTCACAGTGTAAGAGAAGTTATAGAAATCTACAGTAAATAGAGTTAATTCCTTTCTTAGAAACTTTTGCCAAATTGAGACATCAGAATGTTTCTGCTGAGAGTTGCTCACCCTAAAACCCATAAACTTTTTTTAGGCTGCACAAATGAAGAAAATACCTAGCAACTTTTGTAGAAAGAAGGAACACATTGATTGGCATCCATATAGCACTTACCCTACAGTATAAATTAATTCCCCTTGAATGATTTGTATGCCCAAATAGCCACTATTTATTACTGCACAGTATTAGTCTCTGTAGGATATAAACAATGAAGGCTTGTTTTTATGTAGCAATATGGGGACAGTGGAACGGGAACTATCTGAGAAAACAGAAGAAAACCAACATTTAAAAATAACAGGGTTGCAGAGGTTTAGTGGGAATAATCCTCAAGGTAGGAGATGCCAATTAGTTCCTATACTGAAGCTTTAGAGAAAGCTAACCTAGTAAGACTGAGTACCAGAAACACTATTATAAAAGTTATAAGAGCTATTGCAACTTCTCCTCATGTGTCTGTGTGGAATTTCTTTCCCTTAGTTGCTACTAATTAAAAAGTTTAGAAAACCTTGAAATGACTTGTCTTACTTCTAAGGCTAGTGGAGAATAGAGGAACATGTGAATGTACCCGCTTTTTAAAAAAGAAACCAAGATACAACATTGCAAAGTGAAAGACTAGAAAAAGCGGGTTAAAAGATAGATGGTCTGTATGAAAAAATGTCTCTAGAAGAATTTTTTAAAGTAAAAATAATAGAACTCCTTGGGTTAATAATTTTGTTCACATCTTTGAGATTTTCCCAGATGTAGGTTCTTAGTGCACATCTGTATTTATTCTCAGCTCTCAAGCCTGCAGAAGGCCAAATGTATTTCTTTGTAATTCTCCTTGTAAAATATTACATCCAAGGATAGTCACATGTGTACCATATGAAACCCTTTTCCATATGAAGGTAATCACAGTGTGGAGAGGAGATATTTTGCATGTCTACAAATATGGAGATGGGGTTCTGTAAGCAATGAGACAAAAGGTAACTTTCATTTATTTCATTAGATTGTATTGTTCATTCCATACCTAACTTAATGTCCCTTCCAATCCATTTCTAATCTGTTTTCTTTGGTTATGATTAATTCTCATATTACCATCTTGTTGGTACAATCAGAATTCAGTTGATTGCTTTGTTTTCTTTTGGTTCTTGGGGATAAAGTTATTACATTTTGGAGTTACTCATCATCCCACTAAGGAATGTCCTACTACTTTTCTGTTCAGTGCTATGTGATAATAGAAAGATATGAGTGCTTGGTTCTTGACCTCAATAAATCTAATTTTGAGCGTGTGTGTGTGTGTGTGTGTGTGTAGCTTCAGAACTCTTTCCACAGTTTCAGCTATTCCCATCTATTCTGACTCTATGAAACCATTTAATTTTTTTAAATAAAAAAGCACAATTAGTTTTACTACCTGCTAAGATTATATAATTTAATGCTAAGCTTTTCTTACTGCTCTACCTTTTAAAAAATAATAAAAGTTTGGAGCTCCTGTGGAGTACAATTTCACTTTGTATCATTAATACTGAAAGGAAAGGAAATTGAAAGAGACCTTGAAATTGAAACTGGTTCTGAAAATGTTACTTTCAAACGTTGTTGCCTTTACCTCAAAGTAGGAGAAATCAGTTCAAAGCATTGTGTTCTATAGAAAAGCACATCTTTATTTTAAATGTCTTAAAATTTAAAAAAGAAAAAGAATGGAGGGAGAAAAGTCAAACTATATTCTAAAAATTCAGTACAAACAGTAACATTTGTCAGGAAACAAACATAATTGTTTACATATTGGAAAACAGCACATGGAAAGGAGATAAAATATCATGCTAGGATATTTAGCTCATCCAAACTTAAAAAGCAGTCAATATAATGATTAACTTGAAAGCCCTTGTTGTAGTAATAAACCCATTACAAAAATTGTCAGATCTGCTGCATTTCCATTGGCAATGGTATGATTGAAGTTGCTTTGCCATCCAAATACAAGTACAAGGATATACACTTAGGGTAATAACATGATTGAATATCATTAACATTATACAAGGAATTTTTAAAAAGTCACATTCCTCAGTGACAGTAATGGCTTAGGTGGTTGGATAGCTATGAAAAGGTAAAAGTATCATTTCTCTGTGTTTACAGAGGAGACACATTGCCTTTGTGAGCTCCACACTCATTTCATTTTAAAGAAATATAAATACTTTCTGGATGTTTTTTGTCAGCGATATTTCATTAACAGAACGTGAAATAAATTCAAAGCCATTTTGCATTTTCTATGTTGACTTCCAAGTGGCCTTTCATGATTTTAAAACATATATACATATACACATGCTTACAGTTATACATATTTACATTTGCCTACTAGTTTTATTAATCTTTAATATTCCATACTTTTTATGAGCCTTGCAACAGTGATGTAATATCATGCACACATAGTATATATATTATTGTTAAGCTTACATTCAAAAATGAATATGATTTAATCTATTAATTTCATCCATTATGGAGATAAATAGGAATTTCATATCTGAACACTGCCCTTTTTGGTGTGTGTGTGTGTGTGTGTGTGTCTGTGTGTGTGTGTGTGTGTGTGTGTGTGTGTGCGTGCGCACGCATAGCTAAGTGGAAAATTTCTATCTACAAATAACAAAGCCAGATACGTGTATAAAATCACTCATTCGAGTACTATGGCTGAATCGATGTGTACTATAAACTAAGGTTCAGTTATAAACGTTAGAAATAATACAGAAATATAACCAACATTGTCTGATGTCTGCCAATAGTACTTTCAGGTTGGCATTTTTCTGCAGGCCGCTCATGGGTTGCTATATTGCTGGGCAGTTCTCTTTCTTCTCTCTCTCCTCCTCTCCTTTCCTCATTCTTCTTCTCTTCCCCTTCCCGGAATTCTGCCTTTTCATCACTCTCTTTCTCCCCTCATTTTCTCCTTTTCTCTCTCTGGCTCTGTTTCTCCTTCCTCCTCCCAGTTGCTTAATGTTTATACTAGAATGCCAGTTTGAAATAATCTGTTACCAAGGAAAATTCAAAACCTCTTTGTTTAGCTATCTTCTCTTCCTTTCCAGTCTTTGCACTTCTACAGGCAGACTACTGTACCACTGTACCTCCATTGATATATTTGCTAACCACGGACCATTTACTCCAGAGAAAAACATTTCTTATAACCAAAAGAAGCATCAGCCTCTGGGATTATATAATGTCGAATTACTTACATATGTAAATTCATCCTGTTTTAAGTAACTACAGTGCACGAGCATGTATGTTTGGGGAAATGTGTGAAAGAGAAGTAGAAAGAAAAAATCCAACAAAGTGAAAAAAAATTACCCAAAATAATGGTCCTTTTTCTTATCAAAATTTGTTATTACTGTTGTTATTACTAGGAATTACTATAACATAGTTTTCAAAATTGATCTCTGACCGTAATCATCCAAAAACATGAAGGATTTCTTTTTCTATAATTTACATTTCATAAAAGAACATCAATTGGTCTTTGGAAATAAGGAAACCATATTAATGTGAAGAGTCATGGTCTTGACAGTCTATAAACTGCTTAAATCATAGTAAAAAATAAATATTTTTTTCTGAGCATGACCAAAAATGCAGGGAAGAGTTTGGTTTTATGGAGAAACAGTAGTTTCTAATAAAAGTTGGATGGTTCATTGTGAGAGTGGCATTCTATCATGCACTTGGTAGAGGGAATCTGATTTCAAGTTTATTTCCTATGGACAATGAAATGGCCTTTCACAATGCTTTATGAAATTACAAATCATTTCAGTTGTTCCCTGGTTGAGAAACTTAAATTAAATGGAAAATAATCTACAATCAACAGTTGTTTGAAACTAAGTTAGCTCTATCAACATCATCATCACTCTTACATGATTACAAGTAATTTTGGAGCCTATAGGTGTTTTACTCTTTATATTATAAGCTAATACTATAAATGTTTTTGAGACAGGGTCTCACCCTGTTGCCCAGACTGGAGTGATCATAGCTCAGTGCATCCTGGGCCTCCCAGGCTCAGGTTGATCCTCCTAACTCAGCCTCCCAAGTACCTGGGACTACAGGCATGAGCCATCATGCTTGGCTCATGTTTATATCTTTTGTAGAGATGAGGTTTCACCATGTTTCCCAGGCTGGTGTTGAACTCCTGAGCTCAAGCCCTCTACTCGCCTTGACCTCACGAAGTGCTGGAATTACAGGTGTGAGCCACTGCGCCTGGCCTAATAGTGTAATATAATCATAATGCAACTTAATATTAATTATATTATCAGTAATGCCCTTATTAGTATTTTTCAAATTTGAACATTTTACAAGTTTCTTTTAAAAAATATGACACACAGTGATAATTTAAATCTAATCTGATGAACGATATTGCTGCTTAAATTAAATGTTGCCCACACTGTGAGTAACATGAACAATGAATATGGGATTATCTGCTGCACAGAGATTCATTACAGTTCAGCTTGCTTATACTTACTCTTTCTGGCTCATTTGTATATCTTGCTGGCCTTTAAGTGGTGCCAGCTTACCCTTTATCTATCATCCCTCTATTGTTTCTCATTAACCTACAGAGTCAAGTATTACTTTGCACAAATTTGATTTAAAATACAGACTCAAATTAAACATATTGAAATCACCAGCATTGAGCCACAGTAATAAGTTAAAAAGGCCCCCAAATCTATTTGGACTCAATAACCGATATGATCAATGACAACTTGAACTCAGGTTAAAGTTGCTTTCACTTAGTTTGCTATCAAATGAATAAACAACAAAATGATTTATACATATCAGTAACACAAGTGTAAAGATACAACTTCCTGTTTATTCAAGGGTGTGTGCCAACTTTATATTTAGCAACCTAACAATGGAATAAGCCAGTGATCCCCAATCTTTTTGGCACCAGGGACCAGTTTCATGGAAGGCAATTTTTCCACAGACGAGAGGTAAGAGGATGGTTTTGGGAGGATTCAAGTACATTACATTTATTGTGCACTTCATTTCTATTATTATTACATTGTAATATATTATGAAATAATTATACACGTTACCATAACGTAGAATCAGTGGGAGCCCTAAGCTTGTTTCCCTGCAACTAAATGGTCCTGTCTGGAAATGATGGGAGACAGTGGCAGATCATGAGGCATTAGATTCTCATAAGGGGCAGACAACCTAGATTCTTCGCATATACAGTTTACAATAGGGTTCACGCCCCTATGAGAGTCTAAGGCTGCCACTGATCTGGCAGAATGTGGCGCTCGGGTGATAATGCAAGTGATGGGAGCAGCTGTAAACACAGATGAAGCTTTACTGGCCCACTGCTCACCCTCTGCTATGTGGCCTGGTTGCTAACAGGCCACAGACTGGTACTGGTCCATGGCCCAGGAGTGGAGGAACCCTCAAATAAGCAACCTTCCATGTCAAAAGATGGGTTCTGGATTTTCTTAATGTTATAAAACTATCTGCTAAGGAGTAGGAACCACATCAGGAAACAAGGAGCTAAAATTTCAGGATAATACTAACATATAAGGAAATTCTTGATCTGTAATTGTCAGGTCTATACAATAAACTCATAGTGCATCACTGACTGCCATTGGTTTTCCTCTGGAATGGTCTACAAAGGAAGCTGCATACACCCCCATTGAAATGTCAGAAGAAAATATTAGCATTTCTGCTCTTTAGGCTTTATCTCACTTTTCCAATAACTATATTTTGTCTTATATATGTTAAAATCTATATAAAATAAAAAAATTGGTGACAATATTTCTTCTTGATTTAACATAAGCATTGCACTTTTTATAATGATTACTTCTTTAAAACATAAAATTTCTTATTGTATCAGTGTATATAACTTAGAAGTTGTGTGCCCACTAGAGTAAATATCCAAAGATTTATTCTAGTTTGAAAAATACTGCTCTAAGTAAATACACCAAGTCATAAAGAAAATAATTCAGTTCAGCTAGTTTCTGTCTAATAGTTCTTCCTTATTTAGTTAAACTGATATGCAAGAACTCCCTCCAGTGATTGCTTGCCTCATGATAGATACAGGAGTTCTGTTTCTTTGTCTAGTTTTCCAATAATTCTACTATTGAAAATAAGCCTGCCATATATTATCTTCTTATAATATGTTGTATCATTTTTAGGTATATTATGTTTTAAATATTGTAAATATTTATTATTAAATATTACAAAATTTTAAAACTTTAATAATCTGCGTTATTTCTTCCTTCGAAGGACATCACAGTGACCTATTATCATTTAGAGAAATACAGTGGGTAACATGCTTAGTAGATACAAAACTCTTTACTAAGAGCCAAAGTGATTAAGATCCATTAGGTTTCTAAACATATGTAATAGTGTGGAATTACTAAACAAAAAATAACCCTTTAGATTTTTAGATACATTTCTTACACTCAGTGTAAGAAGAGGTAGTATGATTGTCATAACTGTGTTGTTACAGGAAGGTAGAGAACCAGTAGAATGTTGATCAAGGAGGTCAGAAGTTCAGAGACATTTTTAGGGAACCACATACATCCCAAGTCATGGTCCTTCTCTCTCTGAGTTGACTGCTTTATTTTCCTGCACAGTGTAAAAACATGTTAGGACGGTAGTTATTGTAACACATTTTGGTGAATAGTCTAACAGATTTTTACATTCCTAGGAAAGTTGTCATATCTTTGAGCATTGTTTTGTATGTGACTGTGTTTATCATTCAAACATCAAAAGTACACAAGCATATAGTAAAATGTCCCCAGAGTGCAAGGACTGAGAATTTAAAGGCCAGTGAAATTGCACAGGAAAGGGTGTGGCAGGAAAAAGGATATATATGCAGGAGTATATACTTTATATGAACTTATATAAACTAGATGAAGAGATTTGGGAATTTGATAGCATTAGGTTTCAGAAAATTACTTAAATGTAAAGCCCTGAGACAATTATCTCATCATTTAAAAGAAAAAGTCCATCCTATTTAAGTACATTGAGTATGTTTTTCTGAAATTCCATTACTAATTCTTTACTAGTGTTAAAATGTTCATCACTGGTTACTATCTAGATTTCTTCGTAAATAAGACAACACAATTTTATTTAAATTGCCTGTTTCAGCTGTGTTTGTTGCTCTCTGGGTCTGAGAGAAACATGTTTCATTCAGTTTTACTTTCAGTCAATACATTATGTCTCCCATAACATATTGTGGTGCTTCCATTTATTGATATTTCAGCACATGCTCGCCACCCTAATTTTTCCAAAAAGTCTTATTTCCTTCTAAACATGTACCTTTTGTTCGAGGAATAAATAAAATTTTGAGAAAAAAGTATTGTTATTTTCCCTTTAACGTGGTTTACGTTTGTTGTGTGGCTTTTCTGCAGCAGAAATCACAACAAAATTTACAGTGACTACTGTTTTTTCGTAAATATCTTCCTCTAGACAGGTACTTAATAATTAGGCTCACTGGGCTAGAATGAAGGTGTTAACACTGTACAGTGTTTCTAGAATTAACTGAATATTTGTTGAATGAATGAATGAAGGAGTGAGTTGTATTAGTCTGTTCTCATGATGCTAATAAAGACATACCCGAGTAATTTACAAAGGAAAGAGTTTTAATTGACTCACAGTTCCACATGGCTAGGGAGGCCTCACAATCATGAAAGAAGGCAAATAAGGAGCAAAAGTCACGTCTTACGGGAGGGCAGGCAAGAGAGCTTGTGTAGGGGAACTGCCCTTTATAAAACCATAAGATCTCTTGAGACCTATTTACTGTCAGGAGAACAATATGGGGAAGACTCGCCCCCATGATTCAGTTACCTCACACCAGGTCCCTCCCACCACACACGGGAATTATGGGAGATAAGATTTGGGTGGCAGCACAGCCAAACTGTAACATGAATGGATAGGTGAATAGAGTACTTTATCCTGACAAACTACAAGGATGAAAATTTGTATCTACCTCTTTTCATTATGTATCTTCTGAAAGTAAAAAAGTTTTAGGAGTTAAAATGGTGTTTAAATCTAATTGTCTACTGACATTGCTGGCTTGTGGAACAATGAACACACAACTGCTGATTTTAAAAGAAATTCCGATGAAAGAAAAGTGTTTCTGTTTGAATTTATGTAAATATTAATTCAATCTATCAATATTCGGGAAGCTCAAGACCAGTTTAAATATATAATACTATTTAAAAATAGACAAAAGATCTGAACAGATGTTTCTTAAAAGAAGACATACAAATGACTAACAGGTATATGAAAAAGTGCTCACATCACTAATCATCAGAGAAATGCAAATCAAAATTACAATGATATATCATCTTACCTCAGTTAAAATGGCTTGGATCAAAATCTGATGTGGATATGTCAATATTTTTCATTGAAACTTTTCTGAGAATGTAAATTTTGTTTGTGAGAATGTAAATTCTGTATTGTGAGAATGTAAATTAGTACAAACACTATGGAGAATAGTGTAGAGGCTCCTCAAAAAACTAAAAATAAAACTTCCATATAATCCAGCACTTCCACTACTGGGTATATATCCAAAAGGAACAAAATCAACTATTGAAAAGATATCTACACTCCCATGTTCACTGCATTATTCGTAATAGCCAAAATATGGAATCTACCTAAGTTCTTACCAACAGATGAATGGTTAAAGAAAATGTGCTACATATACACAGTGAAGTATTATTTGGCCATAAAAAAGACTGAAATCCTCCCATTTGCAGCCACATGGATGGAACTAGAGGCTATTATGCTAAGTGAAATAAGCCAAGCACAGAAAGACAAATATTTCATGCTTTCACTCATATGTGGCAAATTAAAAAGTGGGTTTTTTGAAGATAGAGAATAGATTGGTGATTAAAAGAAGCCAGGAAGGATAGAAAGGATGGGAAAATTAAGGGAAAGAAAAGAACGTAAATGTGGTTATTACTACTTAAATGTATACTTCAAAAGGGTAAATGTGGTAAATTTTGTATGTATATTTTACCGCTATAAAAAAAAACAAAATAAAAAAATGTAAAATTTACAGATGTTTATCCTTTATATGCACTTAAATAAACGAGATGAAGACACTGAAATTTGAACCACTGTTGAGAATACATTAAAAACTGAATAAAATCATAAAGGCAGGTCATAGTTCAATAAAATTAGGAAATATAAACAATAATCAACTGGCATGGAAAAAAGTAAATATTGAAAGGTAGTAAGCAATTTCTAGTTCACTAAAATCTTACAATTTATAAATAATTCTATCTGGAACAATTGTTTAACTTGAAACTCTTACAATGTGACTAAAATGCATACAATCTAAATAAAATTCAGTATGTCACTCTGAGAAGCTATTTTCACTGATTAATCCGGGGATTTTCTCCTGGAATAGAGTTCTCTGCACTACAAACCCATAATGTTTTTATGTTTGAAGAAGATTGTATTTCATCAAGCCACATATAAATTACTTATTTCTATAGTCATAAGAATTTAATGCAGTACAAAGTCTCATGTACTTAAAATAGTAACTAATAATTGCTCTTTTGGTGGGAAACATGCAAATGAAGACTGAATTCTTTACGACCTCACAAACTGTGCCTGTTTCCTCCCAGTTGTACCTGCTAAGATTCATGAACACAATAACCAAGCAAGATAAGAATGTTACAAACTATAATTCCACTGTATTTGTTATTGAAGATGAAAACAAAGTTTCCCATAAAACAAAGTTATTACTTCTTTGAAATCTAGAATCACACTTGTGGAGCATAGCTAGAAGTTTTAATTCCCCATAAATACCATGAATATTTCTGGGCAAATTCTGGAGTATTTAATTCCATTAAAAACCAACAATCTTACATTCTAAACAGCAGTGTATGTATGTGTCATGGTGTGTGTGTGTGTGTGTGTAATGCTTCATTTTCAAAGCAGTACTTGGCAAGGAGGCAGGTATAATTTATGATTGATTATATAGATTCTTACCTGTTTACATGCATTAGGTCACTTTGCAATATTTGTAGATAATGCTTTCAGAAAAGTTTTAATGAAAAATATTGACATGTTTGAGGATTCTGATTCTCCAGGGCATTGAGATAGTACAGACCAAAACTATTACCATTAAGGATATTTCTGCCTACACAAGAATAAAACTTTGAGAATTCACTCAATTTGTGTTTTTATGGGAAGGAAAATTTAAACTGTATGGGGATTGGTAGGAATATATAACATGAAAGCAAGATATTAAAGTAAAGGTATCAGGTGAGAGATTTTTTAAAAAGGCAAGGACTCATGATAATCAGAAAGGTCTGGTTTTGGTTCTTCCTCTGACAGAATTTAGGCAATACCCTCTCATTAATATTGCTAGGTCTTCATCTGTAAAAGGAGGGTAATGAACTAAGGCTTAATGGGCTATAAGGCCTTCTGCAAAACTACAAATTGATTATTTTGTGTGGATGTAACCAAGATAGCACAAAACATATGTTTTACATAACCTGAATTTTAAACTTCCCACTTGAATGCCATAACCTCATATTTTCTCTCCAATACCCCAACTCCAACAACTTTTACCTCACTGGCCCTCATCATCCAAATTGTCTCATTTTCTGATTAATTCACTATAGATTTAATCCCTGCTCTACATCTTTAATCATTGCCCTTCTCTCACAGGGCAAAACTCCTTTCCATTTAAGTCTAATTCTCCAGTTACTCCGTATGCAACTTCAGTTGCTGAAATATATTAGAGAAAACAAACAATTACATATTAGTTCAATTTAAAGTGATTACTTTTTTACCTGAAAAAGATGTTTGGTCTGGGATGCTTGGTCCCCCTACATGATTATCCTAGTGTAGGGGTCTACCAAACAACGGATTTATGTGTAACCCTAGAGATACACAAAGACATTTCTAGCAAGGGCATAGTTTTAAGCTAATCAATGACAGAATCCTCAATTTGCCTATGTACTTCTTCTATACATTACCTGCTTGAGAAGGCACCCGAGATCCTGACATCTTACTGGTCTCTTTTTCCACTTTCTCTTTAATGATCGCCCTTTTCCCAATTTGCAAAAGACACGTTATTTCTCATCAAGCCAAATTTTACCATGCTGAAGGTTTATCATCTCTGGGCTGCGAAACCAAAGTTTCAAAATGTTGTTGCTAGAATATACTGACTGTAAAGATGAGGCAACACATTCTGTTACAAGTCAAGTGGTTCTAATTACTGCTTTCAACAAAAATAATTGAACATCCTCAATCATGCATTAGAGAGAAAACATAGTATCCATGAGAAAGCACTCTTTAACATTCACAATATTTATGTTGTTTTTCTCCTACAATTATTTCACTAGATTTACTGCACGCACAAAAATTCATAATGTGGGCCGGGCGCAGTGGCTCACACCTGTAATCCTAGCACTTTGGGAGGCCGAGGAGGGCAGATTACTTGAGGGCAGGAGTTCAAGACCAGCCTGGCCAACATGTTGAAACCCCGTCTCTACTAAAAATACAAAAAATTAGCCGGGTGCAGTGGCACTTTCCTGTAATCCCAGCTACTCTGGAGGCTGAGACAGGAGAATCGCTTGAACCACGGAGGCGGAGGTTGCCATGAGCCCAGATCATGCCCCTGCTCTCCATCCTGGGCCAACAGGTATATGAAAAAGTGCTCAACATCACTAATCATCAGAGAAATGCAAATCAAAATTTTTGCTGCACGCACAAAAATTCATAATGTGGGTCGGGCACGGTGGCTCACGCGTGTAATCAAGCCTTAAAAATTCTCGTAGACTGAGGTGGCATTACTAATAGTAAGATTTTTGATCAAAATGCAATAATCTGCAAACTTTCCAAAGGAATTAGTAAACATAAAATGTTTTATTCGAAATGAGTCTCTTGAAGAGGCTGAATAAGGATTTTTTTCAATAAGTGTATATTTTCATGAATGAATTTGACATATGAAAAAGAAGTTCAGCACCAATTTTCTTTCAATGATTTGTTTTTATAAATGTAAATGCTAAAAACCTTGTTTTTCTAACTAATGTGTCAGAGTAGAAGTTTTCTTTTGGTAATTTTTTCAGTTCTTTTAACTGGTTCAAAATAGATGCTTAAAAAGTCTGCATGGCTATCCCTCATTAAAACAAACAAAACAAAATTAAAAACCTTAAAGACCTATCAGCTAAAAAGTTTGTCAGGTCTGGTGCTGCTTCAGGCAAAAAAAAAAAAATTATAAACTTCCTGCTGTATAAGAGGATGTATTACCCAGTCATTAAGTTTGTCTCTTAGTAAGTTTCAGGAAAGAATACAAAATAGCTTTTCCATACTTATCAAATAACGACACTGCATGTAAGAGTTTCACATAATGGCACCTCATTTAACCTCATACATTTTAAAAAGGTTGAAAAAAATCAAATATTATTAATTCTATTACAATTTGACAAGTCATTATTTTTATAATATTCTTTTATTGAAGGTCATAGATCAATTAATAGATTGATAAACGATATATAATAGGGGAATAAGGATATAGGTACATAGATATATAGCCATCAAAACAATGGAGATCTAAGATTTGACTCAATTAACTTCTTCAATTTATCTGCCGTCAAACCTAATTAGCAAGGGCAATCTTCATGTCAACTTACCACCCAAATCAGGCTTATTTTAGCTCAAAGGCCATCCTCATTATTAAATTAAAAAATATTTTGTGTAATAGCATTAAAACTATTCTAAAATAAAAGTTGCATCTTGTAAAATAGATTACAAACAAAGCTATCGGAATTAAAATCAAATGGATGTAATTTAATTACCTTTTGAAAAATAAGTTATAAAAAGATAAATATATATGCTATTTTCATTACTTACTTTGTAATAATAAATGCTAGAATATTTTCATGTACCAGGGCAAGGAATATGCTAAAACCCATGGTATTCTTTTGGTAAATGTGTGCCTGTCTGTCTGGTTTTGGGCCTTGAAAAGTATTTATCAACAATATTGTAAAAACTCAAAAATTACTACATTAATTTCTATGCAGTTAAAATAAATATATTGACTGTTAAAACACAATGTTTGACACATAAAACTCATTTTTATTTTTGTTAATAGGTTTTAAAAATATTAAATATTTTATAAGGTGAAAACAGATAATAATTGACTCTGGATAATGTTGTGATATAACAAATAAAATAAGTTTTACCCATCTTACTATTAAATCTGAAACAAAATCGTATTTTTTTTCCAGTGGATTTTGTTCATTGTATCTTGCAAAATTTAGAAGTCTTGGGAAATATTCAAATTCAATTGTAAAGAATGAACATCATTAAGTGCTTAAGCTGTTAGAATGTGCTTTTAACTCCAGTTAAAGTGTTCTTGGGATGAATTTTGAGGCTATCTGCAATATATTTAAATATATGAAAAGGAAGTCATTTTTAAGAGTTAATATTTCTTACAATTTTCTCTTTGATTTGCTCTCAGTGGACCTTTCTTCAAGTGCAATGAATTATTGGGCAATATTTCAGAGATAGAAGATATACTAATAAACAATTGTGATTCCTCCATCACCACATTCTTCAAATTCCTGAATAAACAATTTTCCAGTATAAGCTAAAACACAGGCTTAACAGAAATAACTCTTAAATTATGTATCATCTATTTGTCCAAACTTATCTATCTTATCATCTATCTGATACACACACACACACACATCACACAGGGAAAAATAAATTCTGATGTGTTTATGGTACCTTGATTAATGATTAAAGGAGGCTACCCTGAAATCAGTATAATGAATTACTCCTTTTTCCACTCTTCCATGTACTCCAAACAGTTTCTCACCTTGGGAAAATATGCCACAGTAGGACTCAACTGAAATAAAAGTTATGGCTTTCTTTTACTGAGTGACAGAAAGACTGCCATGAATACAGGCAAGCACTACAGAGATTTTTAGTAAATGGAACCTATGTTAAATAAGGATCTGGACAAGTGAGTCTCTTAAAGTTCTCATCTTAGTTTTCCTTCTCTAGAGGTAGAATCTGAGAAGGAGATTCTCAAGAGATTGGTTGAGGAAGAGCTTGGGAACAGGCCATAGGGAGGCAGAATGGGGCAGGGCAAAAAGCCAAGGAAGAAGGAGATACCAGCTAGGAAGCCCCTTCAGCCTTTCCTGAAAGGAACTCTGGAATGAGTTGCTTCAGTCATTGGCCTGGATGGCGTCTGAGAGTCGCAGGTATATCTGTGTAACTACCAGGGCAATAACGCTCCTGTTTGGCCTAGGTTATAGGTGACTCATCAGAGAAGGCGACAGGTGTGAGCTATTAGCAGAAAAAACTTCCACAATTGGTGAATAGGCGTACCTTCCGGTAAATATGATTGAGGCAGAACACCTCCAGATCCACTACAACTATTCATAACCCTAATCCTTTGCCATTTCAAGAATTAGTAGTCACCCCAATGTGTAGTTCATTGCTCATGGACTTGACTGTGGCAATTCTCCCATATTTCTTCCACATCAATTTTTCCTTCTACTTGATAAGACCTATCACATCCTCACTTGCTATTATATTCCCACCTCGAACTAAAAATATAAAATAAAATAAAACAAAAGTACTGTAGAAAGGGAAGGCAAACCCATGTTAGGTGCAGGTGTCCTTCTGTAAGACAGACTCAGTGGCCTCTCCAGAATGAAAAAGGTCTCCAGGGATGGTAGGGGATCTGTTGTTCAATATCAGTCTACTGCTGGGAGGTCAGGCATTCAACAATAGCAAGAGGAAGATCACCCTTGTGAGAGAGAGTCCATGCATGAAACCTCTGTACCAGAAAACACAGCCAGTCTTCTCAGGGATCATTTCTGTGGAAACTACTAGAAGACTCAATTGAAGTATAAGTTCTTCTAGAGCTCTACATTTACTTATATCAGTCTAATGAGCAGGGATGGGAGGACTACCAACAGAAAGATCACTTAAATTAGCTAGTGAGGTTTTTGTCTGGTTTTGTTTTTCTTTTTGCACAACATAGGCAGCTTGATTTTGAACTTAAAACCTATATAAAGATTGGCTTGATTCTATATTTTTTCATGCCTAAGGCAAATTTTCTCTATCATTTTATGCCATAGACAAATTTCCTCTTTCCCCTTCTATATATGGAAGGTTTATTTCCTCTCTACCCTAAGACTGAGGATGCAAAACTTGAGGTCTTATTTTTGTGGATTTCTCTTATTAGACTTCATTCAAGTTCTTCTAAGAGTAGAATTCCCAAGTTGTATTCACATGTTCAACTCTGTTACTATCAGATTTTTAATAAAATTACTCTACCAACTTGCATTTCATATATACCAGGAGAGTATAAAAGTTCCAGTTGTTTCACATTTTTGTCGACACTTAACATTATAATACTTCTTGATTCTCCCTTATCTAGTGTGTGTAAATTTGAATTCATTTTAATCAGATTTGAATTTCCGTGATTATTAATTGGTTTAAACATCTTTTCATGTCTTTATCAGTCATTTTCATGAAACTTACCTGGCCTTTTCTTTTTCTCATTAATTTATACATAATTATATTGTATTATTTATCTAGTAACCCCAATATCTGATGTTCTTGGTGGTCTAAATGTTTTTTTTTTTCCTTTTTCCTTCCTGCTGACTTTTACTCATGGTGTCTTGTTTCCTAACATGTTTGGTATATTTGGTTTTGAATTTCATCTATCAAAATACATAGGAGTGTTTTTCACCAGAGTGAACTTGAATTTTATCCTACTATTCAACCAATAGTTATAAATGACCTGGAATATTTTTAGCCTTGCCATGGGCTTCAGTTTAATCACAGAATCTCTGGAGGACCTTCTTCACTTTGCCATGCCTTTAGAATCTTTTGTTTTCCCTCACTAACATTAACATGGGCTTGTGCCCTAATGGCAGGCACAATGCACCATACCCTTTTCTTCTCACTTGTTTCTTCCTTATTGCCCTCTGCTTATGGTTCAGCTCACGGTTGTGTCTGTTTGTTGCCCCTGAATCTTTAATCTTCTCTTAATTTTAGTGAACATATTAATGTAAAAGATATATGTTACTGTAATTTATTCCAGATCTTAGGCGTTTCAGTGGCAATCTCTGTAGCATATCTAGCCTACCATACTTTTGGAAGGAAGGATCAGTCCCTACCTAGATACTATTTGATTCTTAAATTAAAGCTTCAATTCAGTCTCTGCCCAAGATTTGAATAAATGCCTTTCAAACTAAGAGACATGAAAAATAATTTAGTAGGTTTTAAACAGGATGCATCAAATATAGAAAGAAAATGTATCTTTTGAATTTGTTAAAATTATACAAACACAACATTGTAATAAAGCATCTAAAACGCATGTTTATTTGGTCATGGTAATGAAATTTGAAAGTCACTGCTCTAAGCTATCCTTAAAAGCCAGTCGTATAACATCTTTTTGACCTCTCCAGTGGTAAGTAATTTCCTCCCTGAAATGCTATGATACTTCATACAGTAACTTTTATATTATATCCCTTCTTTATTTCATTTATTCAACATTTAATGTATGCCAGGAAGTAAGCATTTTAGGCATCTTATTTAAATCAAAATAATAAGTTTCAATTTGAGTATTATATGCCCCATTTTACAGATGAGACACTGACATCCAGGAGATAATTAGTAGCTTTTCTACAGTCATACATTTATTGTGCCCTCTGAATCAACCAATCAGTCCTTGGTTGATTCAGGATTCCACTCCGTCTCTTTCGTATCTAAAAACCTATGTTCTTATCTTCCTCACTCCATGATGCCTCTATGTAACTCTAGACAGTGGTTCCTGACTTCGTTTTTTCTGCAAAACTGTGACTTACAATGAACAGTGTATAGTGCCTATAGTCATGAGTGCATCATTTATACAAATATTAATGCACAATTGCCAATGAGCTGGATAAACATATGAGAGTATATTCCTTCTACTAACTAAAGCATGCAGAAAGTATATTTTAGTGATAACTTAAAATGTACATCATCCTCCAAACTTGGATACCTTAGCTTATATTAAAATTTTTTTATAATACTTCTGCCAACTCTTGAGACATATTCTAATGTATCAGTAAAGACCATGATTGACAACCAATATTTTGCATATTTATCATAATTTCATTTTTATTTTTAAAGTTATATTTGATGTATATATTACTTTGAGCCTTTAAAATAAATTTTAAAACTGAATGACTATTGCTGGCCTAGACTGAGAGTAGACTGTTTTTCATATGTAAGCAGCATGTGTAGTGGTAAATAAGTTGATCTGCATTTTTAGTGTACCTAAACATCCAGTAAACTCCCAGAGTACCAAAAGATTTTTAAATATTTGAAAAAAACACAGAGACATCTGTCAGGCACAACATATGCTAGTATTGTTAAGCTTGGAGACCTAAATACATAATAATGAAACACTAGGATGTTTCTTTTGGTCTTGTAACATTATTAAATAAATTACCAAGACACTCAAAGTGTCATTGATGAAAAAGTTTGGGAACTTCTGATGCAGAGTCTAGAAACAACCTCTCTGAGTTCAAACAGCAGATCTGCCAGTTGTTAAGATGCCTAGTATATAATGAGTGCAGTAGTCTCCCCTCACCGCCAGGGGATACTTCCTTAGTGGATTCCTTAAACCTTGGATAGTACTGAACTCTCTCTATATATACTACACTTTTTCCTATACACACATACATACATGCGTATAATAAAATTTAATTTATCAGTTAGACACGGTAAGGTTTTAACAAAAATAACAGATAATAAAATAGAACAATTATAAAATATACTGTAATATAAGTTATGTGAATGTAGTCTCTCTCCCTCTCTTATTGTACTGTACCTACCCTTCATCTTGTGATTACGGGAGATGGTAAAATACCTATGTGATAAGGCAAAGCGAGGTGAATAACATAGGTCTTGTGACATAGCAGTAGACTACAATTTATCCTTCTAAAATCATCTGCTTCAGGTGATCTTGGATCATTGAGCCATAACGATGTCAATGGCTGGATCTCAGAAGCTGATGACATTGATGGCCAAAGGGCGGGTAGTGTATATAGCATAGATACACTGGACAAAGGGATAATTCACATCCAGGGACAAGATGAAGCAGGGCAGCACAATATTTCATCACACTCATCAGAATGACATGTAGTTTAAAACTTATGAATTGTTTATTTCAGAAATTTTCCATTTATTAATATTTTCAGACAGTAGTTGGAATCAGGTAAGTGAAAATGGAAAATGAAACCATATTAAGGGTGGGGCTAATATACTATGAAACTATTGAATAACCTTAATAAGTAAATCATTATGTCTTCAGCACTTACCTTAGAAGTTGGCATATGATGAACATTTGGTAAATATTTGGTGACTGAAATTCATTCATGATCAAATAAGCCCTTCCACAAGAAGTCATTTCTTCATAAGGAAGAAAAGTACCACCTCGGTTTTATTTTTCGAATTACCTTCATAAATATCTGAGGGATATAGTCTTTCCTGAATGTATGTTGAGAAAACTTAAACCCATAGGCAGAAACTCAGACATCTCACAGGTATGTAATGTGATGTGTCAGGAAGAAATAAATGGAAAACACCAAATTCTGGTTATAATGATCAGTAACATTCTTGGAATGAAAAGGAGAAAGATATCAAAGGTCTGTGATTAAATTAACTTCAAAAAAGACATTTAATCTTTTTTTCTTTACATTCATATTTCAGCCATACACTTTCATTCAGAGGTAATCCTTCTCAGAGAATATCATTAGCTAGCCTGTCAGCACACAGCTAACCAGAAATCACCTTGAACTGATGCATCATATCCATATTTAATATTGAGATTTTTTTTCAAACCTGTTTGAGTTTGCCATCAATGAACTGGGAACATTTTTCTGGAAGGCTGAGGCACTTTATAAATAATTCTCTCTTTTAAAAAGATGTATTTTTTAGGTAATAAAAAGAGATCCCAAAAAAGTCTTTTGTTAAATAAGTTGTCTAATAGTCTGTCCTTTAACATGCTCTGTATTTTCTGTAAATTGAGAGTTGGATATAGAGATTAGATTAGATTCAGTTTCAATATTTAAGTAAGTCTGCTTCAAAAAAGGGAGTTATCTTGTCTTCTTCCATAAGGAGACACTTAACGTCTGTCTTTGTGTGATTTTAGCAGCTATCAATGATCAATGCCTCTATGCATTAATTCATTAGGGGTTGTGAAATAGTGACATTGCAATTATTTCTTCATTTAATAGCTGGAATACCTTTATAAAGAGAAACTTCTCTTCTATTTGGTTACTCAGAGGTAGAGTTCATAAAGGAAAGGTGAAAGAAACGTAGTTCTTTTTACCTATTAATTTTCAAAACAGAGTGTTAGAAAACTAGCATTCTCCAACTGTGGGCAATTACTTGTTTTTTGTTTTTATTATCCTTTTGATTTAATACATTTAAATATATATATATATGCACATATAGATAAACCTATTGCAGACGTTGTATTCTATTATTGATGCTCAAATTATTCTAACTTTGGTGGGAAGCTGTTCATCTTACTATTAGTAGAGCAAAATGTTTCAATTTTGTCTTGTTAATTTTCTGGCCTAGGTCTGGTTTTAGCTACTTTGCCAAAGAGCCCTAACTCCTGCTAAAAGTAAAGGCATTTCATGGCTACGAGCTGTGCTGTAGGGATGCTCATTGTTTTAATATAAAATATATTCCCAGCTTTGGCATCATACTTGGACTTCCAACAAAAACAGGAAGACACAGTGTTTCATTTCTGTCTCATATTTTGTATCTCCTTTCTCCTATACAGAGAGGTGATCAAAGACACTGAGGATAACAGAAGAGTTCATATGGATGACTTATTTACCATATCTCATGATATGAACACAGCAGTCTTAGAATAATAATTTCAATGTGATTATTGATAAAATCTTGGATTTTTTGGTAGTTCATATTGTTCTTAAGATGTATCTCGTATGGATGTAGAGAAGAATTGCTTTGCTTATAAGGCCCTTGGAATAGTACCTTACTGTGTTATTATACCTCTAACTGGATATATATTTAGATCTATTGTATATTTTATTTTTAATATTTATAGATTACTTCTTAAAATTTAACTTAAAAAACCATGGAAACAAGTTGCATATTTTCAAAGAAAAATTCACTAAAAAAGAATATTCAAAGAAGTCTAGTTTTTATCTATGTCCTCCGTTTTATTTGATCTTTGCAAAAACTATAAATAATAAATCAATATAAATCAAAATTTATTTATTCATCAAAAAACAAGTATGTGTGTGTATATATATGGGTATGTATGAATATATATGCATATGTACATACATATTCACACACACCACTTACATGTTAGTATTGGTTGCGTATAAATGTTGGGGTTATCATGAGATAATGGAAAATGAATTATTTGAGCTCTTTTATTATTCTCAGTGTTGTTGAAAAACTCTTAGTATGGGAGAAAGGATATATAAATGTAAGACTTATATAAATGTAAGTATATATGTGTGTGTGCATGTATTATTTACACACCCCTCTTTTCTTAGGTAAATGTTATTATATACCACACACTCTTGTCTAAGTTGATTTTCTTTTCCTTAACAATAAGCTGGAGATTGATCCATTGTCGTATAGAGAGACATGGGACATGGTGTACATTTAGCTTTGTTAGACGATGCAAATTTTTTATTTTAATAAATGAGTTAAGTGGTTTACATTTATTGATATAGCTGTTATGAACAGCTTCAGTTCTGTCATATTTTGCACATATGAAGGAATAATGCACACACATCTTTTATATCAATTTATTTGTCCTATTTTCACTTCTTGCTTAATTCGGATTTGACCAACAAGTTTTTTTTTTCTTTCAGTGTAGAATGTGTCCACACTGGAAACTTCTGTTAGTTAGCTCTGAGGTTCATATGTCCAGATCCCTCCAGCCTCTACAGATTTTAGGCTAAATTTAGTGAAAAGAAATACATAAAAACCTTTCTAGCTCTAGCAGCTCTTCTAAGGTTGATGTGCAATGATTTCCAGTGGGCATCCTTCGGGATTTTGTGTTCTATTCTTGGTGTTTCACACACCCTCTTTCTTTCCTTTGCTTCCTCCTCTACAAATGCTGGTACTACATGAATTTCTCACCTATAGGTAGTTTGGCCCTACCCACTCATTTTGTGGATTTCACTGAAATGCCTGCTCACCGGATTGTTTTATAGATATAGTCCACGATTTTCAGTTTATCTAAAGTAATTGCTGTTTATGTTTATAAGAAAATCAGAGAGATATGCTGCTGACAACATATTTTGAGAATTTTTTTTTTCTTTCTGAGGTAGTATCTTGCTGTCACTCAGGCTGGAGTACAATGGGGCAATCACAGCTCACCGTGGCCTTGACCTCCCAGGCTCAAGTGAGCCTCCTAACACACTCAGCCTCCTGAACAGCTGGGACCACAGGCATGGGCCATCACACTTGATTAATTTTTGTATTTTTTGTGGACACAGGGTTTTACTATGTTGCCCAAGCTGGTCTTGAACTCCTGGACTCAAGTGGTCTGCCTTCCTGGCCTCCCAAAGTGTTGGGATTATGGGTGTGAGCAACCATGATCAGCCCACAACATTTCTTATAACTTAATTTTTCAAGGGGAAAAACACATGTTAAAAATATCTGTTCTTAATTACATGTCCTTTACTTCTTTGAAAATAAATGTTAAGTCATTTTACAAATGCACAATATTGATATTAGAGATAGGGTACCTCAGGGCTTTTAAATTTGTTGAATATTAAATTCAGTGAGTGGGTATTAAGCCCCTGGATGTTTTCTCAGACTTAGGCTGTTTATCCCCAGGCTTTCTTTTACTGCAGAAAACCAGAGGGATTTAGTCTTCCTACTGTCTTTGACGGCTTTCCTTGTCCTTTCCTTTGCTGAGGGCTCCCTTTTCCATTGTCTTATCCTTTTCCCCAGCTTTCTCCTTTTGGCTGTCACTAAAGTTAAGAACAAATCTAATTATAATGATTTCCTATTCAATAACTATATTTAAAAAACTAAGGATAGCAAAGTAATAAACATGAGAAAGCAGGAAAGGTTATAGGACTTTCTAAAATTTATTACAGTAGTTCCTGTTTATAGTTTCTTACTTCCTCGTAAAAAGATAATTGAAAACCCCATTTGAGTTCATTTATTTGCTAAACAAATATCAATTGAACAGGTGTTATATGTCAGCACTGTGCTTGATTCTAAACTCACAAAATGCACAGTGTATTCTCCATGGAGGATATTCTGAATTCTATTTTCATCCTCTCTTTCGGATTTTTCCTTCAGCTGCAATTATAGTCAAAACATGTATTTTACATAGAACTCACCTGTGAACTTACCTTAAAGTTTGTTATTTTGCCATATCACTTTCCTTTTCTCTTGCTACTCTTTTCAAATATTTACTCACAGTTTTTTTCTTCTATAATTTAAGTGTAGGCTACTGAGGGGGACATAATATCAATGGCCTATGTTGTTGAATACCTGAATCAATACTGCTGACTATGACTGACATGGACTAGAATTACTAGGATCCTAATTTTGGCCTTCTGCCTTAGCTTTTTATTGGTAGTTACTCAAACCAACTATTTAGTCATTAATTTAAAAAAATTGCTGAACATTTACAAGATTCTGGATGCTAAATTTATGCTCTGAAAATACATAAAGAAAAGTCCTTGATCACAGAGAATATTCTGGAAAGAAAGGTAGATACATACATATTTACATACATGCACATAACAATATAATAAGAATAATTTTAAAATTTGGCTTCTGAGGATTTGTGTGATGTATAGACAGAAATGTCAAGAGATAAAATTATATCTTTCTTAGCTCACTTTGAGTTTATATACTTAACTTTTGATCTACAAGTTAGCAGTCATCTGTCCAATTCAAAATTAAATTCACATATGCCAACTCAAAGTAGCAATCTTCTGTCCAACTAAAATACCATCTACAGTCTCTTTCTCTTCCCAAGTGGTACATTTTGCTCATTTACCTTGACTTGTCTTGCTTTAACTCTGTTTTCTTGGGTCACTGGTCTCTACCAATGTTCACCAGACTGCAGATTACTCTCTCTTCTCCATCTTTTTTTCTTTCAGGAAGAATCATTAATGACCACTATCCTTACAAAGGAGAAATGGTCTTGGAATCACAACCTCATTGATCTTAGTTATAAAATCCTGTTCCTCTTTTCATGAAATCTCTTGTAGCACACACATACATTATTTCTGTTTCCTTCTCTCATCTTTTTCTCTATTAAAACACATAATTTATCAAGCAAAATAATATATAAAAAGCTATTTTTCTTTTAAATGTTTTATCCAAATATTTTAACTAACTTGTGCTTTTTATTTAACCCATTTTATTTGCAGATAAATATATTATCAGTATGAAAATAAACAAGTTTGAAGGATATTATATAATTGTGTTCCCTATTTAATATCAATGTAATGCTTGAAAATTTTTTGTAGTATTGAATAATGATTTCATTTTAATATCTTTATGTTTAAGACCATACTTTGAGGTCAAGAACTTTGGAAGTAAATTACTCATGTACCATTAAAGTATGCCTTTATGATAATTCTCTACCTTTAGAAAAGATGCTCAACTTGCAACAAAAAACTCAGAGTGGAATTTGGGTTTGACATCTGTGCATTATATGACCTTGGCAAATTTATTAAACTCTTGTGTCAGAATTATCACCTAGGAAGAAAGAATACATGAAGATTTTTATATTTATTGGTCTGCTGAAATGACTAGATGAAATTATTTATTTTGAATCACTTCATAGATACTATTATTAGTTTTCCTTGTTATTTATAATGTTTTGAATCTAACATATACATATATGCACACACATACTTATTATCCTTAAAATTATATAAATATATAGTTTATATTAAATTTATATTAAAAATTAAATCCCCATATTAATAGCTGTAAACCATGACAACCAGTGATTAGTTATAATAATAATGAGGTGAACAGAAAAATGAGATTCTCTTTTAAACTGATGTAAATACCTGTTACAGACAATACTGTATTAAGAAACATTATATAGTAGTCAAATTAGAAAACATTTTCCAACCAGATAAAAATGTATTTCTCTTTTGAGAAGTTAGGCTTTTGCTATAAAAAAACACATAAAAAATAATTTTTGTGTTACTACATTACCTATTAAAACAAGTATGCTTTAATAAACATCAAAGAAAGCAGTCTAATTATTCATTTGAATTTTTATTTCCAAAGATAAGTACTCAAAAGCTTAGAGTCCCAATTATTATCTTGTCCTGCATGAAGTGATAAAAGATAAATTCAAGTTATGCTCTCATTATCTTTCTGTATTTTTACTGGTAATGACATTTTTCATTGTAAATACAATTCTATAATTGACTTTCATATAATGAATTATATGTTTTACTAACATCCTTGGTATGCAGCCAAGAAAGGAAGAAGTAGAAATCAACATGGCACTTCTATCTCATATGTGATGGATATATTCACTATGTTTAAACATTCATAATGCACATAACCTTAAGTTAGATGTTCTGACTCTTCAACTCGTAGTCATATAGGTACACATATAGAATAAAAGTCAACTGAATACAGATTGCATTATGTTCTCTTAAAACTAAAAACATGTCGCTATGTTTTAAATAACACAGCATGTATTTTAATATTTAACATTAAGGGAGATTACAAATTATGTTTCCACAATTTGCTATTCATTACTCTTAAAACACATTTCTTCTGCTGCCTTTTTTTATTATTCCTACTTCCCCTTGTCTGTAAAACCTCTGCCATTCATAGTGTTTCTCTATGTTATTTAACTTTGAAGAATGAACTCCAATCCTATGATCACATAGACTTTACCCACTACTTCAACTATAAGATATATCTTTCCACAATTTATAGCGCTTGTTTTCTGTTCTTTTCAGTCACATAATGAAATTCTATCTGATGCAATTTCTTGCATTATTGTTTTATTACTATTATTTGCATATTCTTATTGTTTAAGTTATAACCAATCTTGTTTCTACCGGAAATGCATAAGTCTTTTGATGGTATAGACCTATCACTTAATAGGATGACATTAAATTTATGTTAAACAAATGAAAGTTGCAAGCAAATGAAATTATAAAATGATGAGTTATAGTTTTACTATGTTCTGCAATTGAATATAAAGATTTTGGAAAAATTGTGTTAGTTTGGGTACACTAAGGAACAGATGTAAAGTTGGTATTAGACATGCAAGAAATTTATTGATTGGGGGAGAAGATGGAGAAGGTGGAATGAGCTTTCAGGTTGTAAGGCTCTTCTGACTTCTGTAAAAGAGAGGAAGAAGAAAGGAGGATAGATAGGAAGAGTTTCAGATTGCAATACAATTCTAAGAAAGTTTAGACGAGGCTGACGATAAATCCTTGAAATAAAGACACCTATTGAAATAGTCATGCATCTTAAAGAAATAATCTTTATTATTACTGCCATGGTCAGTAATCAGGTTGGAGCAGGCTGAGGGAGCATTTGGTGCAAAAGCAGTGATGGATCAAGGCGGGGGCCATGCTTGGGGTCATCAACCAATGTCACTCCCTATAAAAGATTAGAACACCACATTTTCATGGCTTCCACATCAACAAAATGAATATTTTTAGTATACTTTCTCCCAGATTAAGGTAAACATATATCTTTAAAGCAATAGAATTTTGATTCCTACATATTTAAACTTAATGTTATAACAGGCACTTCAAATGTGACTCAAATTGTTGTAAATGTTTATTAATTATTATAATATTTTATTATTGTTGTAATCACCTCTTATTCCCCTCATTGCTAAGGGAAGTATTCTTGCCCCTAAGTTTGTGAGGATAGTCAAACACACAATTCCTGACACTGACAGATGAGATCAATGGCAATGTACTGGTCAAATAATACCTACAGCAAGTGGAAGGAGGAAGGAGGACACGGCATCGGCTAGCAGGGCAGATGGGGGCTGCACTTGGGACAGAGTAAACAACCAGTGGATGTCTCAGGAGGAATCTGTATTTCCACTGGTGCCTTCAGAGAATGTAATTAACATGTTTGAATATTTTTTTGAGCCAGCAGGAAATGTGAACCTGCTACTACTCAAGAATAAGCAGGATCCGAGTGTGGTCCCCATAAGAAGGAGGATTTTTGGCTAGGGACCTTATCCTCTGGAGCAAAGTGAGGAGAGGAACTTGTGGTTAGGGCATTTGAGGCTTTTACTGTTTCACCAGATGTCAACACAGCACATAATATTAAACATTGATTTTAGGATCAAAATACGATAAACATTGATAGTGTCAAAATACAATTAATTTCTTTTAATATTGAGTCTTTAAGTTGTTTAAAACTGTCAAAACTTTTAAGTAATTCTGCAGCTAGCATATTGAGAATAATCTTTTTGTAATTTATGTTAATTCTAAACTAGCTTTTAAGAAGTATGTTTTTTATTACAGAAGAAATAAAATTTTTAAATGCTTGATAAACATCGTTCAAATGTTATTCAAAAAGACTGAACAACCAACCTGCCACTAATGGTTTATATTGTGCAGTCTTTCTATACCTTTGTCACTAATGACTATTCACTTAATGAATAATAAATGTTGTAACCCTAACTGATGGGTAAATTCTGTATTATTAAATAAATAAAATTGGTTTTGGGGAAAAATCAAATGAGAGCTCTTACTCCACACAATTAATCAAATAAATTATAGATAGATCAAAAAGTTAAATATTAAAATAAAAAATGTAAAAGAAAACATTTTAATCAATATTATGAATAAATAAGTTTTATAAAAATTGAAGACACAATTAACTACTTAAAAATTAATAGCAGGACTACGCAGGGTGGCTCACACCTGTAATCCCAGCACTTTGAGAGGTGGAGGTGGGCAGATCACTTGAGCCCAGGAATTTGAGACCAGCTTGGGCAACATGGCAAAATCTTGTTTCTACAAAAATTAGCCTTTAGTCCTCGCTACTCGGGAGGCTGAATGCTTGAGCCTGGGAGATCAGTGCTGCAGTGAGCCATGATCACACTTCTGCACTCCAGCCTGGGCAAAAGAGTGAGACCCTGTTTCAAAAAAAAAAAAAATATATATATATATATATATATATATACACATATATATATAATTTTTGCATTCAAAATAAACTTAATTGACAGATTATCAAAATTTAAGCCCCTTTAGAGTTCTATAGATAAATTGACAAAGTAATCAGACAAAAATAAAAGATAAAATATTAGTGGTAAATAGACATTGGTGAAAGATACTACTACTAATACCTTATTAGT
Organism: Homo sapiens; assembly: GCF_000001405.40. Classification (NCBI taxonomy): domain Eukaryota; kingdom Metazoa; phylum Chordata; class Mammalia; order Primates; family Hominidae; genus Homo; species Homo sapiens. The sequence continues at coordinate 115,032,956 of NC_000004.12, read as the reverse complement.
AATCAAAAACATACGAATTCAAAGGAATCAACATGTTTGCTTATAAAATTAGCAGTATTTATAGAGGAACAAGTTATGAAAGTTGGTGAACAAAACAGTATGTCTTGGGAAACTCAAAACACATCATTAGTCATCTTCCAACTAATGAATTTCATTATTTTTGACCAAACCTCAAACTTCTATAACATCAGCAACAACTATTACCTACCAAAAGCTCTTGCAAGGACCTAAGCTTTGGTCAGAAGACAGTAATAAATGTGACTGTGATAGATAATATGTAATACAACTGAGGTAATTTCATGAAGATTACAATGGAAACTATGCATTACTCTATTATTTAATTATATAATCTAATACAATTTTAGCTCTAATTTTTGAGGCAGGCAGTGCAAAGAAGAGAAAATGCTCAGTTCTTTCAAATGTGGGACAGGCATTATTATCTCTTCTTTTTTGGTTTCTGAATGAATGAGGATTTAGCTTTTACCCTGAAGCTTCTCAAATGAGTCTAGTTACATAGAGTAACCTCTTAATATAATTTTATGTAATTAAGCTATCAGAGAAAGTATTCAAATAAACAAAAATGGAGATTAGTTCTTACATAAAAATCATGATTCCACTGAAAAACTAAATTAAAAGAGAGATAATAAAAGTACAAATGTAGTCAATGTTATTGCTGACTATTACCGTTTTTCGGATTGTTTCTTGGGGTCATTTTAATTTTTATTTAGAGAATTAGAATTTTTCCTGAAGACTAGGAAGCAGCTTATATAGCTTCACATCAGCACCTTGTGGTTCTACAGAACATCATGTGTGCTTAAATGTGATTTGTTTCTGCAAAGTCATTAATTAGTTCCAAAATCAATTTTAAAGTTTCCAGAGAAGAAGAGCTCATAATTTTATGATAGATAGAACTCTCATTTTATATTGCCAGTTGGAGGGGGCGGTGGGTCTTGATTCTGCTTTCTGTAATTAGGAAAAAATATGTTTCTGATGCCCTGGTCTTCAGTAACCTCTAGCCACAGTAAACATTAAGCTTTATTCAGAATAACAAATATAACAGAATGTTCCATGGGACTTTTCCTTTTTTGTTGAAGACCATGGCATTAGATGCTGACACATCCCAAAAAGAGTAGGTGTTGGATGGCAGATAGACTCTTAGCCCCTTTCTTAATTCTAGTTTATAAAAGGGAAGAAAAAAATCTAAGGAAGCTCCAGAGTAAAGATTCATTTTTGCATATAATTACTAGGACAACTTTTCACTCTCTTCTGTTTGGAGAGAAAGGTGATTTCTACTTTAAGCTTGCATACTTTAAACTACATGAGGGAGTTTAGTGAGTCCCAGAGCTAGCATGGAACCTGAGTGTGGGTAGAGAAAGATTTCTTAGGAGAACTTGAACAGAGTTCCCTGGAGTTCAGAGAGAAGAAGACTGGTGGCTTACTCTTACTTGGAATAATCCCAGGGGATGAGGTTGGTCAGGCAGTACTCTACACCAGAGTGAAGAGAGGGCATTACTGGGAAGAGTCTGCACTTTCAGAGTGGATGGCACAAGCTATATTCACCTTGCAAAAATTCCACTCAAGCAGTGAATTGATCTCAGCAATTGATCTCCTTTACTCAAGCCAGGCATTATTCCTTTCCCACTCATCTATCCTCTGAACAATGGAAAAGCCAGAGCAACATGTCTGGAGCAGGAGGCATTAAAAACAACAATGACAACAACAACAACAGGTAGAGGAATAACAAATGAACAGACCACTCCCCTTTCTCTCATCACCAAGTTAAATCTGGGCTGGGGAGTTGAAGATGTGTATTAAATCAGATAGGCGATCAAATCAGTTTTTAAAGGGAATACATTTCTTTTAATCCCTGAAAATTAAACTGTTCTAACAATGACAATGAACAGAAAAGTTATGAGCTATCAAAGAGTATTAGAGAAGCAGGAGATAATATAGATGGGGTGATGACATTGTAAGAGAAATAATGAATTCAACTAGTTATATTGGCTACAGTTGTTTACAGGGTGTGATATTAAGATTTTGAGGTGTTCTTGTAACTCTTTTCTGAATTAACTACCATTTCTAGATTAAAGTTGAGGCCCAATACTTATCTCATTGTAACACTATTCTCGATAGAACATGATGCAGTTTTGTCTTCATCCCCAGTAACGTGTTCTTCCTTTTATCTCATACACATGTTTAAAATTTTAAGGTCTTTGGCAAACTCTCTGCCAAACTGAATTTGTTTTTCCTATCTCTCTTTAAAAATTTTATTGTGATTACACACTTATATGATCAGTATTATATTTTTAACATTCTTCCTCCCTTTTGAGTTGACATTTCAGTTTCACCATGGGATAATAAAAAAAGTTTCTGTTTTATTATATTTCTTCCCAAAAGTCTGACTTGCCTGTAAGACTTCCCTTCTTTCTCTGTTAGATAATTCAGGATGACCCAGTTGCTGTGACTTATGGTTCCTGTCAAGATGACATTACAAAGAAGCATTTTTGTGTGGGTGAGAATTAAGTTCAAACTGGCAGTTTCTCTTATTATTTCTTTCTTCTGAGTAAGACAATAGTCTGAAAATACTGTTATGAACTTTTTAGATGCTCAGTATTAACAGAATAAAAATTATAATATACATTCAAATGGATACCACTTCTAATCACACCACATTTTGTATATTTTTATGTTGTAATTTGTGTTAGAAAAGCATCCCTGATGTCTTCTGGCTTGCTGGTAGACAAGCCAGAATATTTTCACAAACCTAATATATTTTCACAAACCTATTGTTTCTGTTTCTCTATCCATTTATAAGCATTCAAACTTCTTGTTTTCAACACTGTAGCTCATGAATTCTCACACAGGAATCTTCCTTTTTCATTGTTCCTCTTCATTGCATAGCATAAAACAGTAATAACAAAATTACACAATAAGGTAAAATATATTGACTTCTTTGTGTTGAAAGAAAATAATTTAACTAAGCATACTTTATGCTCTTTCATTCCTGGTTTATCACAAAATTATGCCCCATTCTCAGCTACAAACTTTTTCCCTGAATTCTCTGAAACCAACTTGCATACACAGTCAACCTTTCTGCAAAATCCTTTTATCCTATCTTGTGCCTTAACTGAAAACTAGATCTCTTAGGAACACTATTTTCTCTATAGTTCTCTCTGTAGCTAAATATGACTGGTCCAGTAGGGAAGTTTGGGATCCTCCTGCTTTACTGTGCCTCCAAACATCACTCCTTTACCACCATGGGCATTTGAGGTGTTTCTAGCTCCTCATTTGAGCATCTGGCAAACAGCCTGTATGAACCTCAACCTATTCCATTGTCTTCTAACGGCCCCCACATCATAAACTAAAAAAAGTTAGGCTTACTCCTTCCTTTCTCTCCCAATCCCTACTTTATCCTAGATGTCAAATTAGAAGTCAACTTCTAGGTAGAACCTGGCCCAGTCTCATCAGAGCTACCTGAGAGGACAAGAAACTTTTTTCTGGTTCCAATCTAGACTTACTTAGTCAGCAAATCATAAATCTATTCCCTAAAATGAGAGAGGAAGAAGAGTCCCTTTTGCTGTTTAAAACCAATGCCTTAACCTGTGCCACAATCCCATCTCTCTCTCCTATGATATTAGTGAACAGCTCTGGCTGCTCTATTTTTCAACCGCTCCTTCTCTAAGGCAATCTTCACACCCTATTAACATGCTCACTGCTTATTCATCTTAAAAACCCTTCTTTGACCTCACATCCCTTTCTGGTTGCAGCTGTTCTTTTCTTCTCCTCCTTACTGATACTTCTTTAAACAGTAATCTACCCTTGATTTGAAAGTGTGATAATGACATATTTCCCCCTGGGATTGCTGCACCCTGACTAAGTTTCTTGACTGAAGCTCTCACTTTTTTCAAGTGACCCTTTCTACATAGAATTATTTTTCTTCCAATTCTGGTAAACACTCCCTCCTTGTCACCTTAGTTTTGGAGCAGTAATAGAGTCCTGCCTTTAGGCTCTTAGCTACTGTATTATCCTTTGTGGTTTTTCTACTCCCTGCCATCACTTTTGTAAATCATCCGTTTATTAAATTTGCCTCTAGTTATCTAATTTTAATGTGGCATGCTTCCTGTGAGGATCTTAACTAATGCAATGTTCAGTTCTCACCCAATGTAATCTGGCTTCTACCACATTTTTATAATAAAAGTGTTCTTGCTAAGTGCTCCAAATACCTACTAATTCCTATTCATAATTAGTCTTTTCAATTTTTATTATATTGCCATACATCTAGTGACACTCTCCTGCAACTTGCTATTTTCACAAATTCAAATGTACAACAGTCCTCTTGTTTTACTGTAGCTCCTCTCTTTCTTTGATTAATATACATTTTTTTTTTTTTGGTATTCTCTTCTAATTTGGTATTCTTCTCCAGGAATTTTGTTGCTACCTCTAGGGCCAGCTCAGCCCATTTTTATTTCTTATTCTACATTTTCATATTAGGGAAGCTAATCAACAGACAGAGTTTCAGCAATCACATGTATGTTAAAGTATCCTAAATCGATATATGTACACATATTTCTTTCCGGGCATTCATATTTTAATACAGACATCATCTCCTGGAAGTTTCTGTCCAAAGTGTTTCCATGAACCCTGCCCCTTGTTAAGAGTGTTTATCCTGTTTATTATTTGATAGCAAATTGATACAACCAGACATTCGTGGTAAGAATCCTAAGAGTTGTCTGATTGTCTCCATCACTTCCAACATCTAATCAAGAGTTATCACTGATTATATCTCTTAAATACCTCCTTGAATGTATACCATTCTATCCTTCTCTACTACAAGTACATTCATAGGAATCGTTGAGCTAATAATTTCTTCCACTCAGGATCATTCTTTTTTTTTTTTAGACGGAGTTTTACTCTTATTGCCCAGGCTGGAGTGTAATGGTGAATCGGTGAATCTCTCCTCATCGCAAACTCCACCTGCTGGGTTCAAGAGATTCTCCTGCCTCAACCTCTCGAGTAGCTGGGATTATAGGCATGCACCACCACGCCCAGCTATTTTTGTATTTTTATTAGAGATGGGGTTTTTCCATGTTGGTCAGGCTGGTTTCAAACTCCTGATCTCAGGTGATCTGCCCGCCTTGGCCTCCCAAAGTGCAGGGATTACAGGCGTAAGACAAAGCTCGTGGCCGTGAAACTCTTATAACATGCTTACCAAAGAAGTTCAATGCTCAAAATGGTGTTTTAACATGATATTAAAATTTAAGTTTCCAACAGGATACCAAAATACAGTACGTATGAAATTACAAAATCAATCAGGATATAAAGGATCTTCCAAGGAAATAAACAAAATTTGTATCTGTGTTATTTAAAACTTCTCACTTTTTATGAGTGTATAAAAATGATCAAGAGACCAGTTTGAGAAAATTTATTCTAAAATAAATCCTGTGAATCCCTAGTCTCTTTCTAAGGAGAAGGTAGGATGTAAGCTGTCGTCTTTATCACCTCAAATATACAGTGACTGAACTTCAAAGAGATAGCCCAGAGAGCTTGGTATGTGTTATATACACTCCATAAGTGTTGAGATACAATGATCTCACCCAGAAATCTAGAAATCAATGCATGGGTTGGCAAACTGTTTTAATAGAGAGGCTGAGAGCCAAATTCTGTCTTCCATCCCAGACGGTATGAAGTCCTGTTCAAGGGGAATGTGTGGGAGCATGTAAAGACTCCAACATATGCGTGGTGTTGCCCACCTGTGAAGTTCACTAAGGAGGAGTGGTCAAGCAGCGACACACAATAACTTACGTACAAAGCATGCAGAAATGTATCCTGAGAATATCATGGGGATCCACAGTGCTGATAAACTTCAAAGAACCCATGAACACTCCAATAGATAAGGTGTCAACTTCAACCACCAGCCAGGTTACTTCTTTTTTCTATCATCCCAAGCTGGGAGTTAAACAGCAACTAGACTCTGGAATTACGGAAGTCAGCAGAGAGAACAGAAGCCATCATTCTTCTTTCTTCAAATGCAAGTTGTAGCCTTTTACGTGATTCTACTTTGATTTTCTCAAGGTTCATCTCCCATAAAACTATCAGAAATATCTATTAAAATACAAATCAGACAAATCCTACCTAAAGTCCTACATGAAACTCTTCAGTAGCTCTTTTATCTGAAAGCTCCTATGCTGTACAATAACCTTCACAATGCTGTGCCTGCCTATCTCTCTGAGGCAAATTCTCAGTCAATTCCCCCCAGCCCCCGCAACCCCCCCGCCAAAAAAAGAAAAATGATGGGGAAATGTTGAGCAAAAAAAGACAAGTCTCCTACATCTGGAATTTAATGCTGCTGGCACCAGGGAACTGGAGAGTAAATTACAGAAATGGTGAGTCAATATTATTGCTTTTTTCTTTAACTGTGATTTCTTTGAAAATTAAATTATACACATACATAAATACATGTGTATAATCTGAGTTTCACAGAAATCACAACGTATGTGTATATGTGTGTGTGTGTGTGTGTGTGTGTACTTTAAAAAAAAATAAGACTATGAGAAAATGTTTGCTTGAATGCATGTGAATGTAGGTATGTATCTTGGTGTTTTGGAGAAAAAACATGCAGAAATCATAGTTCAAATATACTTAACTATAATGTTAACTTTCTCCATGACATTTTTTCTACAGAAATAAATAATTATTATTCCTTCTTATAACACATTTTTTGAGAGCTTTTTACTGACCCAAATCAGTTTGCTTCAATAAAGCCAATTATACAACATGTTTCTTATACTATAGAAAATTAACTTAAGGTTAAAGTACATGCAATCAAATGGAAAACTGCAACATAAGGAGTTGAAAGGGGAATATAGCTTAATTATTCTAGAACTAGAGCAAAGAATGTGTGGAGGAAAAGGGCTCTAAATAATGTTCAATATCATGAATTGAAAATCATAAATATTAATTTTAGGACTATAATACTAGTTCAACGGCTATACAAGTATTAGTTGATGAACCCAACTGACAACATAATTGAAAGGAACAAGCATCACAGATATTACTTAAGGAAATGATTCCATCTATAAAGATTTTTGCAGAATTTACATAATTCTTATCAATAAAATCGTACCGCATAGATATGTACCTTGGAAAAATATATCTTTGTATTTCAACCCAGGGTTACTACATTTGAAATTACAGAAACTTTAAATTCAGGCATCACTTTAAATTATGTCTCTGCATATTAACTTCTATTCCATTTAGTGTGAATAAATATATACTACAGAGTTTAAGCACTCTAGAAATGTAAGATATGCTCCTCACATTGTAGCATGCTGATGGAATTTACATGGAATAGGTCTCTTCTGATTATGGCCATTATGAAGAACAAATAGCAGAGTTAGAAACCTACTAATAAATTTAAATTTTCCTTTAAGGTTAAATTCTATCAGGAACTCTCAATAATCTTCCTCAATTTTAAGTTTTTATTTCAGTGTACATTTTGGTTCTTCATGTTCATAAGCAAATTATTAAAAAGAAATATATCATTACCTAAGTGAAGTCAGACATTCTCCAGGTAAGATAACTAAGCTATCAAACAGGATCAGATTGTCAAATCCGAGTAGCATAAATCTCACTCACTGATATTCTACTCAATATCTCTTTACTAAATAATTTCATGGATGCAAGTAGTCAGGCTCAGATGAAGCAGAGAATGTTCTAGGCTGTTGAGGCTGTTGCCCAGCTCCCTTCCTCCCATGTTGGATGTGTCACACTTGTCCAATACAGTGAGGTCCCTAAGGGAGATTTGTGGGGTCTGTCTTTGTTTTGTGCTGCTATTACAGAATAACAAGACTCGGTAATTTATAATGAACAGAAATTTATTTGGCTTGTGGTTGTAGGAAGTCTAGGGACATAGCACCAGCATCTGCTAAGGGCCTTTGTGCCGTGTCACCCACGGCAGAAGGCAGAAGAGCAAGTGAATTCCCAAAACAGAGAAAAAATAGGGCCAACCTTTTATCACTCCCAAGATTTCTAACTCACACCGATGATGCCAGCATTAATCCATTCATGAGAGAAAAACCCTGATGGCCTAATAATTTCTTAACAGTTCTGCCTCTTAATTTCATCACAATGGCAATTATATTTAAACACGCATTTTGAAGGTGACATTCTAACAGTAGCATTCTACCCCTGCCCTCTCAAAACTCATCATTCTCACATACAAATTACATTCATTCTATTCCAATAGCCCCAAAGGTCTTAATTCCTTCCAGCACCAATTTAAAATTTAGAAGTAGAGTCTCATCTGAATCAGAAATGGGTGAGACTCAAGGCATGATTCATTCTGAGGCAAATTTCCTCCAGCTTTAAGTCTGTAAAATCAAAACAAGTTATTTACTTCCAAAATACAATGGTGGGACAGGCAAAGGAGAGGCATTCCCATTTGAAAATAAAATAAATAGGTGAGAAAAGATGGGTAACTACTGCCAAGTAAGTCAAAACCCAACAGGGAAAAAAAATCAGTTATAAATCTGAAGAATAATGACGTTTGACTCCGCATCCTGCATCCCCCAAGGCCTCAGGCAGCCCCACTCCTTTGGCTTTGCAGGCCTCAGTCCACACAGCAGCTTTCAAGTGGTGGAGTTTCCTGTCTGCAGCTTTCCCAGAATGAAGCTGCATGATGGTAACTCTACAGTTCTAGGGTTTTCAAGGTGACCCCACCTTCATGGCTTCACTAGGCATTGCTCAAGTGAGGATTCTCTAGAGTGGCTTCACTCCTGTGTTTTTGCTGGGCATTTTCCTAGTGGGGGCTGTGTGAAGTGGCTCTTCCCCTGTGAGGAGGTCTGCCTGGGCTCCTAAGTAGTGATGGAGGTGAAGATCATCATGCCTTTACAGCTCTTACATGATGTGAGCTTGCAGAATTAGCACCATATGGTCACTGCCAACTTGTACCTTCCAGTGTGGCAGGCCAAGCCACACCTGGGGCCACTTGAGCGTGGCTAGGCTGGTCAAGAAGCATTGCACTGGAATGGCAGAGTACAGATGACCATCGCAGATCTGGGCAATGAGCTTGTAGAAGGTGCCCTGGGTTCATCTCCAAAACCATTCTGCCCTCCTATAGCATGGGCCTGTCATAAAAGTAGCACCATCAAAGTTCTCTGTAATGCCTTTGGTGCTATTCTCCCTTTGTGTTCATGATACCTTTTGTCCATACGAATCTCTTTAGCAAATGATGGATGGCTACACCCTTGTTTCTTCTCCTTAACACAGTTTTTTACTCTTTTCATGGCCAGGCTGCAAATTTTACAATTTTTTACATTCTGCTTCTCTTTTAATTAAAAATTCCATCTTTAATTCTTTGTTTCTCTCTTGCATCTTACTGTATGTGATTTATTAATTTTTTTATTTCCATAGGTTATTGGGGAACAGGTGGTTTTGGTTACATGAATAAGTTCTTTTTTTTTTTTTTTTTTTGAGATGGAATTTTGCTCTTGTTGCCCAGGCTGGAGTGCAATGGCACGATCTCGGCTCACTGCAACCTCTGCTTCCCGGGTTCAAGTGATTCTCCTGCCTCAGCCTCCCTACTAGCTGGGATTACAGGCATGCATCATCATAGCTGGCTAATTTTGTATTTTTAGTAGAGATGGGGTTTCTCCATGTTGGTCAGGCTGGTCTCGAACTCCGGACCTCAAGTGATCTGCCTGCCTTGGCCTCCCAAAGTGCTGGGATTACAGATGTGAGCAACTGCGCTCGGCCAACAGGAATACGTTCTTCAGTGGAGATTTGTGAGATTTTGGTGCACCCATCACCCAAGCAGTATACACTGCACCCATTTTGTAGTCTTTTAGCCCTCACCCCCTTCCCACCCTTTTCTCCTGAGTCCCCAAAGTCCACTGTGTCATTTTTATGCCTTTGCATCCTCATAGCTTAGCTCGCGCTTATGAGTGAGAACATACAATGTTTGGCGTATCAGTCTGTTTTCATGCTGCTGATAAAAACATACCCGAAGCTGGGGAGAAAAATAAGTTTAATGGTCTTTCAGTTCTACGTGGCTGAGGGGGCCTCAAAATCATGGCAGAAGGCAAGAAGGAGCAAGTCATGTCTTACATGGATGGCAGCAGGCAAAGAGAGCTTGTGCAGGGAAATTCCTATTTTTAAAGCCATCAGATCTTGTGGCACTCATTCACGATCATGAGACCAGCACAGGAAAGACCCGCCCTCATAATTCAATCACCTCCCACTGGGTTCCTCCCATGATATGTGGGAACTGTGGGAGATACAATTCAAGATGAGATTCGGGTGGGGACATAGCCAAACCATTTCATTTGGTTTACCATTCCTGAGTTATTTCACTTAGAATAAGTCTCCAGTCTCATCCACGTTGCTGCGAATGCCATTAATTCATTCATTTTTACGTCTGAGAAGTATTCCATCACATATATATATATATGGAACATATATATATATGGAACATATATATGGAACACATATATATGGAACACATATATATGGAACACATATATATGGAACACATATATATGGAACACATATATATGGAACACATATATATGGAACACATATGTACATGGAACACATATGTACGTGGAACACATATGTACGTGGAACACATATGTATGTGGAACACATATGTACGTGGAACATATATATATGTGGAACGTGCATAGACGTGGAACTTATATATATGGAACGTGCATAGACGTGGAACGTATATATATATGGAACGTGCATAGACGTGGAACGTGTATATATATGGAACGTGCATAGACGTGGAACGTGTATATATATGGAACGTGCATAGACGTGGAACGTATATATATATGGAACGTGTATAGACGTGGAACGTGTATATATGGAACGTGTATAGACGTGGAATGTATATATGGAACATAGAGATATGGAACATAGAGATATGGAACATAGAGATATGGAACATATATATGGAATATATAGAGATATGGAACATATATATGGAATGTGCATAGATGTGGAACTATATATATGGAATGTGTATAGATGTGGAACATATATATATGGAATGTGTATAGCTGTGGAACGTATATATATGGAATGTGTATAGCTGTGGAACGTATATATATGGAATGTGTATAGATGTGGAAGGTATATATATGGAATGTGTATAGATGTGGAAGGTATATATATGGAATGTGTATAGATGTGGGAGGTATATATATGGAATGTGTATAGATGTGGAACGTATATATATGGAATGTGTATAGATGTGGAACGTGTATATATATGGAATGTGTATATGTGGAACGTGTGTATATATGGAATGTGTATATGTGGAACGTGTGTATATATGGAATGTGTATATGTGGAACGTGTGTATATATGGAATGTGTATATGTGGAACGTGTGTATATATGGAATGTGTATATGTGGAACGTGTGTATATATGGAATGTGTATATGTGGAACGTGTGTATATATGGAATGTGTATATGTGGAACGTGTGTACATATGGAATGTGTATATGTGGAATGTGTGTATATATGGAATGTATGTGGAATGTATTTATATGGAATGTATATATATGGAATATATATATGGAATGTATATATGGAATATGTATATATGGAATATGTATATGTGGAATATGTATATGTGGAATATATATATGGAATATGTATATGTGGAATACACATGTGGAATATATATATGTGGAATATATATATGTGGAATATATATATGTGGAATATATATATATATGGAATATATATACCACAGTTTCTTTATTCACTCACTGATTGATGGGCATTTAGATTGGTTCAACATTTGCAACTGCGAATTGTGCTGCTATAAACATGTGTATGCAATATCTTTTTTTGTATAATGACTTCTTTTCCTCTGGGTAAATACCCAATAGTGGGATTGCTGGATCATGGTAGTTTTGCTTTTAGTTCTTTAAGGAATCTCCACATTGTTTTCCATAGTGGTTGTACTAGTTTACATTGACACCAGCAGTGTAGAAGTGTTCCCCGTTCACCGCGTCCATGCCAATATCTACTGTTTTTTGACTTTTTGATTATGGCCATTCTTGCAGGAGTAAGGTGGTATCATATTGTGGTTTTGATTTGCATTTCCCTGATCATTAGTGGAGATGAGCATTTTTTCATACGATGTTGGCCATTTGTATATCTTCTTTTGGGAACTGTCTATTCATGTCCTTAGTCCACTTTTTAAGGGATTTTTTGTTTTTTTCTTGCTAATTTGTTTGACTTCATTGTAAATTCTGGATATTAGTCCTTTTTCAGATGTATAGATGTATAGACTGTGAAGATTTTCTCCCACTCTGTGGGTTGTCAATTTACTCTGCTGACTGTTCCTCCTGCCATGCAAAAGTTCTTTAGTTTAATTAAGCCCCAGCTATTTATCTTTGTTTTTACTGCATTTGCTTTTGGGTTCTTGGTCATGAAATCCTTGCCTAAACCAATATCTAAAAGGGTTTTTCCTATGTGTGATTTAAAGTAGCCATGCAGCCTCTTAAATATTTTGCTTAGAAATTTCTTCCACCAGATATCCTAGTTCATCACTCTTAAATTCTGCCTTTTATGAAGCCTTTGGACTTCGATACAATTAACCCAAATTATCCGCAACTATATAACAAGGATGTCTTTTACTCCAGTTTCCAATACTTTGTTCTTTGGTTCCATCTTAGACTTTGATTGGACTTCACAGTCCATCTTTCTGACAACATTCTGACTATGATCACTTAGGTAATACCTAAGAAGTTTTAGGCTCTTCCTAGTTCTAGGATCTTCTTCTGAGCCATCGCCAGAATTGCACTTAATGCTGCATTAATGGCAATCCAGGCTTTTTTCTAAGTTACTTCTTCAAATTCTTCTAACCTGTATCCGTTACCCAATTCCAACAGCGCATCTACATTTTCAGGCTGTTATGGCAATAATCCCACTCTTCGGTATCAATTTTTTTTAGTCTGACTTGTGTTGCTACAACACAATAACACAGACTGGCTAATTTGTAATATACAGAAATTTATTTGGCTCATGATTCTGGAGGTGAGGGCCTTTGTGCTGCATCATCCCGTAGCAGAAGGCAAAAGCACAATTGAGTTTGTGAGACAGACTGGGAAGCTAGCCCAACTTTATCCTTTTATCTGCAACTCATTCCCCCAATACTAGCATTATTCATTTGTTGAGGGCAGAGCCCTTATGCCCTGATCACCTCTTAGGGGTCCCAATCCTTTATTCCATTACAATGGTAATTAAATTGCAACATGGGTTTTTGAGGGGCCATTGAAACCAGGGCACTAACACAGTGGGATGAATTTAAATTATAAAACTTTTACATTTTATGCCCCGACGACTTCATAAGTTTCATGACATTCTCCAGGAGGCTAGGCCTCGTACATACTGAGTTCTATTTAAAATAAGAATCTGCTGCCAGGGCATTATTCTCCGGGCATTTTAGAGATCAGGTCTCTTCCTTATGGCAAGTCTAATCAGTTGATTTACCCAAAGAACCAGATGATGAAAAGATTAGGCTGGGTCACCTGGCATCTTTTCTTTCTTTGGGGTATGTCCTGGATGAAGACAGAAAATATATCAGGTCACCTGCTTTAACTTCACTTAAATACATACACCTTGTTTAGAGGAACTTGTGTCTTTATGGAGTTTAAACTTGTTTTTTATAATAGTATATTTTGTTTTGGGGGGACACTAAAGAAGCCCATTGAACAAAGTAGGCAATATGCTCAGATTATATACTTGCCATAACATGTTTACAATATGTATTAAAACACATTAAGTAAAAGCCAAGTATTATATTAGTTAAATAAAAACCAGTTAATGTAGTATCCAGAAGGAATGGTGAGTGAGAACAAGAATTAGGCTGGTTAAATGAAAATTTAGAATTATAAAAAGAAGAAATATAGATGATTTGATAATGAGAGAGCTATAAAGAAGTAGTGGAAGGAATGTTGTCTCCAAGATAATTATTACCTATAAAAATTAGCATTTGCATTCTCACCAAGAAAATTATATTTTGCAATAAATGTAGCTTTGATGCAATTTTCTGAAATGAAAGATAAGTTTTGGGAGATTGAAATTTTCATGTCCTGGTAACTTGCATTTTTTATTGTATTGATATTAATATATTTTTACCAAGCATGTATAATAATTCTAATAATAATTTTATAAGTGCTTAGCCCCATGATTATATTATCAATATTCTAAATTTTGAAATCTTAGAAAAACACAAAATAATGTACATGTATCACATATGCAGCTTAAATATGGTTCCTGGTAGTCATGTAAAACTCTGCCCAAGGTCCTTGACAATGGAGGATCTACAGTCTATCCTGCAATCCCTGATAAAAATCACTTATTTGAATATAATAGTTATAGAAGCACTCTGTATAACTTAATTGATTTCCATCATTTTTACTCTATTGGTGAACAAATGATTTAAAGTCAATATAATAGAGGTAAGATTGTTTGCAAAGAAAACACACAATCAATATTAAAATACATATTATTAAGAATTTTTAAATCAGCTCCATATTGTTTATGTGGAAAAAGAGATTTTGTAAACAAAACTAAAATTAAGATATTTCCATTTTGTACTGAGAATTTTAACTCTATTCTACTAAGAAATCTGTCTGCTATATGTTATACTAGTCAATGACTAGTTTGTAATGTGGTTTAAGGACACTTGGAAATTAGTACATTCAGAGTGAATTTGTTTTTTGTTCTCAATGGCTTTCATTTGTACTTTTGAGTATAAATTATTAGTAGCTTCATTTCATTTATAATTATAAATTTAAAATATTTTGGCTGCAGTAGCCTTTAGTGGTACATGCATGCTTCAACAGCATTTTGACTTACAAAAAAAAGCTAGATTTTAAGAGAGATGTTTGTTGTGGTTCAATCACATATATCCATATTAACATATACATGCCATATTAATAAATCATAACATCATACCCTTATTAATATAGTCAATATGTATTAAATTTGTCTTCTCAATTTTTTTTTACAAAAGAATATCTAATTGTTCTAACCAGATATACTTTCTCTACTATCCTCTGCATGTAAACAATCAGGAGCAGGCTATGTGGTTGGGCACTGGGCAGCATATGATCCAATTATGGATTACCTCTACTCCAAAAGTAAAATTCACTCTTCTGGATGACATTTTTATTAATGATTGCCTTTTTGTTCCTAAATAACTGAGACATTTTATAATATACCTAGCACATTGTAACACTGGATTGATCTCTTATCATCTGAATGTTTTAATATATATTCCTTTGTAAAATAAAATGGTTTTCAAGATAGTGAATTCTATGGCAAAGGAAAAGCAAGTTTATATCTGGTGTTTCCCAAAATGACCTTCAAGGTGTCTAAGAATCTCCTGCCAGGTGGCAGAAGATGATATTTGAAATCTGAGTAGGTTTAGAGAAACAAGGAATGGCATAAAGCAGTGATCTGGATAAAATAGTATTCTATGTAACAATGTTTTATGAAGAAATAATATCTGTAATGTGGCTTTTTTATTTGGGTAATGTGTTTGGTGGATAAAACAAAAACAGGAAATGCATATATTGAATAAAAATTTCTATGAAATGTATTTGAATTCTGTGGAACCCCAAAGTATAATTAAAGAGAATCCTTAGCAATCCATCTGTGAGTTTTTGTAATAGTATGTTGAAGTTCTAAAAAGTCAATTTGCTTTATTAAACAGTGTGTTCTTTCCTAATAATACTTAGAAAATATTTGACAACTTTTAAATGTGCATTCTGTTTGAATGACTTAGTTGTAATTGAAACCATTTTGTAATTGAAAATCAAGTAACTAATTGAACAATACAATTTATCTTAACAGCACTACAAATTCCTAGATTTCGTTATAGAAAAACTCTTTCCTAATTTGAATACACACACACACACACACACACACACATACACACATGAACACTCAAAACAAAACAAGGAGGAAGTATGATTATTACAGTTCTTTTTCTACAACTGGTCACATGGTCATAGCTGGTATTTATCACTACCTTCTTCTACTGCCCATTCTATATACTTTTTGCCTTCAGCAAGCACCTCAGGGGGTCATACTTCTTTACCTGGTGGGATGACCCACACCTTCATTCTGGAAGGGTCGGAGTCATTAGCAGTCTTGCCTGGATTGGGTTGTTGTACTTTTCCATTGATAATCACAGGGCATGGTAATACTACAAGATGCCCTAAGGTATCTCCTGTATTGCATACATATTATCCCTTTCCTCCATTGTGGAGTACTATCCAATATCCCCCAATAGGATCAATCACCACAGCCAACATAGTAACTCCCTTCTTTCCCTGTTAAATCAGAGGCATTAGAAAGCCAAAGTGGTCAAGTGGCAGTCTTCATTGCTAATTCAGTGGAATCATTGTTGGGTCTTCTGTTGGAAGTATTTCTCCATTTGGAGATAAAACCTTTAGATCAGCAACACATAAAATTATAGGAACAGAGAGCAAGCATTTTGCTAATGAGCCATTAGGAGTAATACTGAGTGATGTCATTCCTACTTCCTCTTCTGGATTTCTGGACCCATGAATTCTGTCTATGGGATAAGCAGTACCGTATACTGGACAATGATTCAGATTATATACAGGCTTCTGAAGAACCTTGCCCTAGCTGCAAAGAATTGCCACCTACTTGGTGCTGTAACTGAGTTTTTAAAATGCCTTTCCACTAATCTATCAAAGCAGCTGCTTTGGGTTAATGCAGAACATGGTAAGACCAATGAATTCCACGAAAATCCCATTACTGCACTTTATTTGCTATGAAGTGACTGCCTTAATTGGAAGCAATAATTGATGGATTAACATGACTATAAATAAGGCATTCTAAAAGTTCACGGATGGTAGTTTTGGCAGAAGCATTGCACGGAGGGAAGGCAAATCCATATCCAGAATGTCTATTTCAGTAAGAACAAAATGCTGCTCCTTCCATGCTAGAAGTGGTCCAATGTAATCAACATACCAGCAAGCAGCAGACTGATTACCTTAGGGAATGATACCATATCAGGAAATCAATGTTGGTCTCTGCTTCTGGCAGACTGTGCATCAGTGGTGGCCATAACCAGGTAGGCCTTCGTAAGTAGGAGTCCATATTGCTGAGCCCGTGGATAACATTTATTCCTGCCACCATGGCCACTTTGTTCATGAGCCCATTGGACAGTGACAGCAGTAGACTGAGAAAGAGCTAGTATTCATAGAACAATTAGTACTATCTACTTGGTTATTAAAATCCTCCTCTGCTGAGGTCACCCTTTAGTGAACGTTCATATGGAATACAAATATGTTCATATATTTTGCCCTTTAAGACAGAATTATGCACGTACTTCTTCCCAAAATTTGTTACCAATTTTTCAATTATTTTTCCTCCAAGTGCCTGACCATCCAAACAAACACCATTGGCCACAGACCATGAATTAGTATATTACTGCATAATTGGCCATTTCTCCTTCCAAACAAAATGAACAACTAGATGAAATGTTTGAAGTTCTGCCAGTTGGAAAGATTTCTCTTCACCACTATCTTTTAAGGATATCCCAAAAGAGCCTATAGTGCTGCACCTGAATTTTACCAGGTCTTGCCTGCATTTCACACAGAACCATCTGTAAACCTGGCATGAGTCTTCTTTCTCTCTGTTTGATGATCATAGATATTTTCCAATGAGGCCATAGGTGCAGGTTGGGAGAGAAATGTCCATGGTCCTCATATCAATTACACACAAAAACTGTGTAATTGGTGTGACGCCAGTGGGCATTTGGGCCACTTCTTCATATATCTTGCCATGCCTTTAGGACCAGCTTGACCCCAGTGGAGCGCTGCTGGGATTGCCTAGCTTTATGACTTGACAGGTCAGATAATACCCAGTTCAAATGTATTGTGAGGACTTGACTCTCTATTTTTATAATCCAGGTTAGACTTTGCTCACTTAACCTAGAACTGTTCATACACACCAAGTAAGAATTTAGTAGCCATCTATCTCTTTTACTTTTAGGAGCTCTATGATCAACAAGCCAATGCTCAGGTTGCATGGTAACTTTGTGGCAAATGGTTAAGTGTTCAGACCTAATAAGGTCCAGTAGGCCAAAAGATGTTTTCCAAAAGTAGAGTAGTTATCCAAGGAGGATGACAAGGCATTGCTCCAAAATTCTAAGGGATTTTGCTGTGATCACTTAAAGGGGCCTGCCAAAAACTCCAAGCAGCATCCTCTGCCATCGATACTCCAAGCACCATTGATTTGATAGATCATATAACCCAAGTGACACAGCAGCTTGCACAGTAGCCTGGACTTACTGCAGAGCCTTTTTCTGTTCTGAACCCTACTAAAAAATCTCAAAACCAGTAGATTTTCAAGTCATTAAGTCAATGTGCTGGAGTAACACACATCAGTGAGGAATACATTGATGCAACAACTTATCCTTCACCTTAGAAAATATATCTCGACATGACCAATACCATTAGCCCCTAAACATTTTACTGAGGTAGAAGGCCTCTGAACTTTTGTTGGATTTACTCCGTACCATCTTATTTGCAAATGTCTTACCCATAAGTTCGTTAGGTCTAATCAATATGATGTCATTAATGTAATAAACTAATGTGGTAAGTTATAGAAGGGAAGTGTGATCAAGGTTCCTGCAAACTAATTTAGGACATAGGGCTGGAGAGTTGATATAGCCATGAGACTCAGGGTAGTGCAAAAGCATTGCTGGCCTTACCAGCCAAACACAAACTGCTTTAGGTAGGCCTTATTGATAAGGATGAAGTAAAAGGCATTTGACAGATTAATAACTGCATAACAAGTACAAGAGGTTGTGCTGTTTCTCAAGCAATAAAACCACATCTGATACAGCAGCTGCAATTTGAGTCACCACCTGTGTAGGCTTAGGGTAATCCACTGTCATTCTCCAATATCCTTCTGTCTTTTGCACAGGCCAAATAGTCTATTCAAATGGGGATGTGGTGAGAATTATCACCTCTGCATCTTTCATGTTCTTGATAGTGAAACTAATCTCTGCAATTCCTCCAGGAATGCAGAATTGCTTATGATATACTACTTTCCTAGGTAAAGGCAGTTCCAGTGGCTTCCACTGGCCTTTTCTATCATAATAGACCTTACTTTTCAGGTTATGAAACCAATATAGGGATTCTATCAGCTGCTGAGTATATCCATTCCAGTTATGCATTCAGAACTGCAGAAATAAACACAGGATGAGTTCAGGGAACTGCTGGGCCTACTGTGAAATGGACTTGAGCTAAAACTCCATTGATCACCTGACCTCCATAAGCCCGTACTCTGAGTGGTGGACCACAGAAACATTTGGTGTCTCCTGGAATTATTGACAGTTCAAAGTCAGTCTCTATAGTCCCTAAAACATCTGATTATTTCCTTTTCTTCAGTACACATTTTCCCTGGTCAAAGACTGTAGATCCTTATGGGGCAGATTGGGAGAAAGATTAACAGTGTGTTATAAGTTTTTAAGTTTTAATTTCTGTGGGTACATATTAGGTATGTATGTGTGTGTATATATATATATATATATATATATGGTATTTATATTTTTATGGAGTACATGAGATATTTTGATACAGGCATACAATATATAATAATCATATTAGGGTAAATGGGATATCCATCACCTCAAGCATTTGTAAATCATTTCTTTGTGTTATAAACATTCCAATTATACTTGTTTGGTTATTAAAATGTACAATAAATTATTGTTTATTGTAGTCACCCTCTTGTGCTATCAAATACTAGATCTTATTCATTCTCTCTAACTATATCTTCATATATTAAGCATCCCCACTTTCCCCCTACCCCCACCCAGTACCCCCTCCTAACACCTGGTAACCATAATTCTACCCTCTGTGTTCATGAGTTCAATCGTTTTAATTTTTAGCTCCCACAAATAAATGAGAACATGCGAAGTTTGCCCTTCTGTGTCTAGCTTACTTCACTTATCACAATGTCCTTCAGTTTCATCCCTTTTGTTGCAAATGACAGAATTTCATTTAATTTTACTTCTAAATAATACTCCATTGTGCATACATTTTAAAATTATGTACCACATTGTCTTTATCCATTTGTCTACTGATGAACAATTAGATTGCTTCCACGTTTTGGCTATTATGAATAATGTTGCAAAAACATGAGAGTACAGGTATTTCTTTGATGTACTGATTTCCTTTCTTTTGGATATACACCCAGCACTGGGATTTCTGGATCATATGGTAGTTCTATTTTTCATTTTTTGGGGAACCTCCAAATTTCCAAATATAGTTGGCAAAATTAATTGTGGAATTGAAAAGACATTTAAATCAAACCTTTATATTAAAATTCATGGAGTAAAAACATACTTCAATATTAACTGTTTATTTTACTTAATTTGGGTAAGTAAATTCCAGCAAGAAAAGAGCACAAGTGAGGTCACTTAAGCCATGGTGTTGGAATGATAGTTTTACTTTGCAACCGTCAAGTAATAAAACATTTGATTTAGAATGACATTGAGCCATAACATCAAGTAGTGAAAATTTAAGATGCTGGTTCAATTTCCCATCAGATAACCCAGCCTTTTATAAATGAAAGCTCCCATATATCAGTGATAAATGTAAAAACAAGATGTTTTGCTGGTTGTAAAAAATGGTCTCAGAAATACCTAGCTTTAATAGGTATGATATCTAGGTTATAAAATTGATAAATTATCATTTGTTTTATGATGGGATCATTGATTCTTGGAATCAATTGTTGCCTGTTTATTGGTTTGTAATTTTTTGTTATTGTTTTATTTTCTTTTGTGAAGTAATTTATCAGCTCTAAGACCCTAGTACTCATTCTAAGTAGGCTTTGAATCCTCTCTTACTTTATTCACTTTACTCCTATCACACGTACACACACACATACACATTTTTCTCTCTTTCATGTTGCCATTCATGTATCCTATTTGTAAAATTTAAAAATAATTTAGTATATTTTTGTTAAATTAACAAAGCATTTTATTTATGGACATGAAAAATTAACACTGCTTCATGAACTTGCAACATTATTCATCAAGGGCGATGTAACTATTGTACAATAAATATGCTTTCATTTCTGTTCCTGTTATTTGGCTTCCATGTGAAATTGAGTTATTTTATCTTGAGGAAGCTATATTGGAATATAAAATAAAGTAAGTTCTATATTTTTCACAGAGATAAAAACTTTTAATATTTAAATAGACACTACATTACTTATTATTCCTGAATGAACAGATCTTACAATAGATTTTTATTGTTTATTATTACCTGAAACTGCTATTTCTCTAATAAATTCTTCACTTAAAAAACAAGATGTCTAAGTTGACAATGATAGGTCTTACAAGAAATGTTAGTTCATAAAGCTACCAACCATTTTAAGGAAGTGAGTACTGGAGATTGCAGGAAAAAAAAAAAATAGTGATGCCTTCATGTTAGTCTAAACTCCATTGTAAAAGTAGAAAGTTTGATGGTGCATGAAGTATAAAGAAAGGTTAAGAAATACGCTTGAATGGAGTATCTGAAGAGATAAGTGATAAGACTTTTCTCAGACTGTAGAAATATAGATAAGTACCAGAATGGCATGACAGCCATGAAGCACAGTTAAGGTAATTGTTTGGCCTATCAGTAGACATGTAACATACAGATGAATAGAAACCATTCAAGAGACAAGTAAGTCATATAGCAGGATAAGATAAGCATATTATTCCTTAGTACTAAGCTTCTGAAGGCAAACTGCATGTACATAGCATGAATGTTTCTATCAATTTCCTTTTTGTATCTATTTGTCAGTTGTTCGGTATTGTGGGAATTGTGGGAAAATGAAGGCATTACAATTATATTACATATGAAAATTAAATTATTATCAATGTGAAAAGATCAACATAGGCTTTATTAACTATTATTTTTGCCATGTTTAATTCTGAACCTGTGCTAAATTCAACATTGTATTTAATCAAATGGTTATAAATTTGTAGCAAAATTTTTAAGCAATAACTTTTTATTAGTAAGTGACCAAAGTGCCTAGCATCTTCATTTTTAGAAGTAGTTTAGAAGAAACTGAATTGTGTTTGAAAGAAGCAAGAATATATCTGGTGATTGTCTTTCATATTATCTGATATTTCAAGTCTATAATCCTACAATCGCTTTAGATTTCAAAGTCACAAAGAGCCATATATGTATTCTTTTTTTTATTATTATACTTTAAGTTTTAGGGTACATGTGCACAATGTGCAGGTTAGTTACATATGTATACATGTGCCATGCTGGTGTGCTGCACACATTAACTCGTCATTTAGCATAAGGTATATCTCTTAAAGCTATCCCTACCCCCTCCCCCAACCCCACAACAGTCCCCAGAGTGTGATGTTCCCCTTCCTGTGTCCATGTGTACTCATTGTTCAATTCCCACCTATGAGTAAGAATATGCGGTGTTTGTTTTTTTGTTCTTGCGATAGCTTACTGAGAATGATGATTTCAAATTTCATCCATGTCCTTACAGAGGACATGAACTCATCCTTTTTTATGGCTGCATAGTATTCCATGGTGTATATGTGCCACATTTTCTTAATCCAGTCTATCACTGTTGGACATTTGGGTTGGTTCCAAGTCTTTGCTATTGTGAATAGCGCCGCAATAAACATACGTGTGCATGTGTCTTTATAGCAGCATGATTTATAGTCCGTTGGGTATATACCCAGTAATGGGATGTCTGGGTCAAATGATATTTCTAGTTCTAGATCCCTGAGGAATTGCCACACTGACTTCCACAATGGTCGAACTAGTTTACAGTCCCACCAACAGTGTAAAAGTGTTCCTATTTCTCCACATCCTCTCCAGCACCTGTTGTTTCCTGACTTTTTAATGATTGCCATTCTAACTGGTGTGAGATGGTATCTCATTGTGGTTTTGATTTGCATTTCTCTGATGGCCAGTGATGGTGAGCATTTTTTCATGTGTTTTTTGGCTGCATAAATGTCTTCTTTTGAGAAGTGTCTGTTCATGTCCTTCGCCCACTTTTTGATGGGGTTGTTTGTTTTTTTCTTGTAAATTTGTTTGCGTTCATTGTAGATTCTGGATATTAGCCCTTTGTCAGATGAGTAGGTTGTGAAAATTTTCTCCCATTTTGTAGGTTGCCTGTTCACTCTGATGGTAGTTTCTTTTGCTGTGCAGAAGCTCTTTAGTTTAATTAGATCCCATTTGTCAATTTTGGCTTTCCTTGCCATTGCTTTTGGTGTTTTAGACATGAAGTCCTTGCCTATGCCTATGTCCTGAATGGTAATGCCTAGGTTTTCTTCTAGGGTTTTTATGGTTTTAGGTCTAACGTTTAAGTCTTTAATCCATCTTGAATTAATTTTTGTATAAGGTGTAAGGAAGGGATCCAGTTTCAGCTTTCTACATATGGCTAGCCAGTTTTCCTAGCACCATTTGTTAAATAGGGAATCCTTTCCCCATTGCTTGTTTTTCTCAGGTTTGTCAAGGATCAGATAGTTGTAGATATGCAGCATTATTTCTGAGGGCTCTGTTCTGTTCCATTGATCTATATCTCTGTTTTGGTACCAGTACCATGCTGTTTTGGTTACTGTAGCCTTGTAGTATAGTATGAAGTTAGGTAGCGTGATGCCTCCAGCTTTGTTCTTTTGGCTTAGGATTGACTTGGTGATGCGGACTCTTTTTTGGTTCCATATGAACTTTAAAGTAGTTTTTTCCAATTCTGTGAAGAAAGTCATTGGTAGCTTGATGGGGATGGCATTGAATCTATAAATTACCTTGGGCAGTATGGCCATTTTCACGATATTGATTCTTCCTACCCATGAGCATGGAATGTTCTTCCATTTCTTTGTATCCTCTTTTATTTCATTGAGCAGTGGTTTGTAGTTCTCCTTGAAGAGGTCCTTCATGTCCCTTGTAAGTTGGATTCCTAGGTATTTTATTCTCTTTGAAGCAATTGTGAATAGGAGTTCACTCGTGATTTGGCTCTCTGTTTGTCTGTTATTGGTGTATAAGAATGTTTGTGATTTGTGTCCATTGATTTTGTATCCTGCGACTTTGCTGAAGTTGCTTATCAGCTTAAGGAGATTTTGGGCTGAGACAATGGGGTTTTCTAGATATACAATCATGTCATCTGCAAACAGGGACAATTTGACTTCCTCTTTTCCTAATTGAATACCCTTTATTTCCTTCTCCTGCCTAATTGTCCTGGCCAGAACTTCCAACACTATGTTGAATAGGAGTGGTGAGAGAGGGCATCCCTGTCTTGTGCCATTCAAAGGGAATGCGTCCAGTTTTTGCCCATTCAGTATGATATTGGCTGTGGGTTTGTCATAGATAGCTCTTATTATTTTGAGATATGTCCCATCAATACCTAATTTATTGAGAGTTTTAAATTTTCAACCCAGAATTTCATATCCGGCCAAACTAAGCTTCATAAGTGAAGGAGAAATAAAATACTTTACAGACAAGCAAATGCTGAGTGATTTTGTCACCACCAGGCCTGCCCTAAAAGAGCTCCTGAAGCTAAACATGGAAAGGAACAACTGGTACCAGCCACTGCAAAATCATGCCAAATTGTAAAGACCATCGAGTCTAGGAAGAAACTGCATCAACTAAAGAGCAAAATAACCAGCTAACATCATAATGACAGGATCAAATTCACACATAACAGTATTAACTTTAAATGTAAATGGCCTAAATGCTCCAATTAAAAGACACAGACCGGCAAATTGGATAAAGAGTCAAGACCCATCAGTGTGCTGTATTGTATTTCTAAGACTATTCTTGTGGTCAGCTCAGAAATTCTGTTGTGGATTAGAAACCTCAGAGAAACTCACTGGCCTGTAGGTCATTCCCAGGGTTTCTAATTTAGTTGAAAAGGAAATAAAGAAATTTAGTGCCCATTGTGTGGTGGATTTAAAAATAAATTTTATTCTAGCATCTTTGGAACCACTTGAATTCCAAGGACAACTCAGGAACAGAGCCAGCTTTTACTCAGGCCTCAGATCCTTTCAGGAGCAATGCAAACAGAGCCCAGAGAGGAGTTGTGCCAGATGGTCTTTGCCTCAGTTACATTTCTTTCAGAGAAGCAAAGGGAAATGCTTGGACCTGCTGAACATATTCCAGAAAGTCTTCCTGTTGTCTTTAGCATCTAAGCAGATATCAGCTAATGAGGTCTTTTATTTTGGTTTGTTTTTGTGTGGTAAATGATTCCCTGCGTTTCATATCCCATTTCTCCCAACCTTCCTTGGGACTTTATTCCATCAGTCCTTCTATCTCTTGGTTGTATCATCATTCCAGCTTTCTGTTGGAATTCTCAGCTCACCCTACTTTCCTCTTAAACAAACCAACAAAAAACAACCGAATAAAAAACTCTTTCTTAATCCACATGTATCATTACCTTCTGTTTCATCAGTTTTTGTCTGTTTACTCTTGAAGGTGCTGTCTACATTCGCTTCTCACTTAAATTTTCAATTGCGTATAGCCTGTGTTCTTGCCACTATCACCCCATTGAAATGGTTCTTGTTATTTCCCAGTCATATTTACATGGTGAAAGTAAAAGCACATTTTGTCACCATTTCACAAAACAGAAATATAAGGGTTAAGCATTTAGAAGTTTTAACCATACTACAGCTGCATGTTTACTGGTTCCATAGTCTGTGCCTCAATTATCATGTATGTAAAAGGAGGTGATAGTATGGTAGTGAGAGTTAAATTATTTACATGTAGTGTTATTAGCAGTGTCTGGCTCAACAAGTTTAATTTAACTATCAGTATCTCCATTTCCTGAGATATAAAATGGAGAATTACAATAGTTCATTTTATACGGGAATTAAGCCCTGAGGCTGAATGCTTTAACCAATGTAAAGTACATAGAGTAAATATGCAATAAAACCTAGCCATTTTATAATTCTCACAATTGTAAGTCTTGATCACATCTATTATTATTACTGTTGTTGTTATTATTATTATTATCGCAATTTTTCTGGCTGTTTCTTAGTAGTCTTCTTGCTGGCTGCCTTTCTCCATTCACACCATAACCATTAAGTGTTCCCAAGGTGCTGTAGTTGGCTTTCTACTATACTAATTCTACATATGTCTCTGTAAACTTTATCCAAACCCATGGTTTCAACTTCACCAGACACATGACAACTCCAGAATCCTCTCCTTATGTACAATTTATATATACCACTTCTGGGTGTCTCAGCTTGACTATTCCTCAAGTAGTTCAAATTCAGCCTGTCTCAAAAAGATACCGTCATCTTTTCCCACAAACTTGTTCTTCCTCTGCCTGTGAATCTCATTCCTATGCCTCTACATGTTTAAAAGAAAAATTAGGGATTTAAATTAACAACTTCTTTTTGACTTCTCTCCTATATTAAATCTGTATCTAATACCTGTCTATTAAACTATGTTGATAGCTTTCATATTTATTACTACCCCTTTTTTCCCAAGTCCAGTTTTTTTAAATTATTTTTATAGTTATAGGATTCCAACTGCCTATAGGCTGATTCAGCTTCTATTCATCTGCAATGAATGATATCTGTTTGATCATCATCATTCCCCTGATTAAAGATATTAAATGGCACCCTATTACTTTGAGGATGAAATTCAAATCCTTTAGTTTGTTACACAAAGCCTATCTTTATTTTTGTCTCCTGTTCTTAATCAACTCTTCCTCAGTCATAAAGGACTTCTAGCCATTTCCTGAATGTATGTTTTGTGTTGTCTTTCCAGGCTTTACATATACCTATTTATTTCTTTTTTTTCTTTTTTTCTTTCTCTTTCTTTCTTTATTTCTTTTCTCTCTCTTTTTTCTATCTCTCCTTCTTCTTCTTCTTTTTTTTTTTTTTTTTTGAGATAGAGTCTCACTCTGTCACCCAGGCTGGAGTGCAGTGACGCGATCTCAGCTCACTGCAAGCTCTGCCTCCCGAGTTCAAGCGATTCTCTGCCTCAGCCTCCCGAGTAGCTGAGATTACAAACGCATACCACCACACCTGGCTAATTTTTGTATTTTTAGTGGAGACGAGGTTTCACCATGTTGGCCAGGCTGGTTTCGAACTCCTGACCTCAAGTCTTCCACCCACCTCAGCCATATACCTGTTTCTGTTTTATTTTTTCTGGATTGCCCCCACCATCTTATCCAGCTAACTTGTACTCAACCTTCAGATCTCACTTATCTCTTGGTCACCACCTCTAGGATGCCTCTAGTCTTATTCAGAAGCCCCATTCATACCTAAGATTAGTTTGAATATAGTAAACCCTGCACTTTTAGGATCAGTATTCTTGCCTTTTCCCACTGGACTATGAGCTCAATAAAAACAAGGACTTGTCACTCATTGTTCAACCTCCCACTCTCTTCTCCCCAACCATGTGGGCCTCCTAGTTCTTCCTCTACTACCTCAGACATGCTTTCTTCCCAAGATATTGGTGTTGCTTGCCACTTCTGCCATATATGCCTATGGCTCACTATCTCCTTCTCTTTAAAACTCTGGTAAGATCCCAATAGCTTAGAAACACCTGCCATTACCACCCTATTTAAACTGCAAACCACCCTATCAGCAGGCCCAGCAACCTTACCTTATTAATCTCTATGATATTATGTAATGTGTTTATTAGGTCTATAGACTGTCTCCTCTGTTTAATGTAAGCATGAAAGAGGGGCCATTTGTGTGTATTGTTCTCTATTGTATCACCAGTGCCTGGAAAAAAGTGAACACTCAAAAATATTTAGCAAACAATGAATAGAAAGAGTGATGAATTATTCTTCTTTGTAGGCAGTATAGTGACAATCACATAATAGGTATCCCATAAATATTTATAGAATTAATAAGAAATTAAAATGTTTAAGAAATTCAATTTTAATAATTAAATTCAATGTAAGCAATTTAAAATTAAAGAATCCAGTTCTTGTTAAAATTAGAGGAAAAATTCTCCTATCATGAATGTTGAAAAATAGTCAATCCTGTAAATACAGCTAAACTCCTGTGTGTTCACCTGAAAATTAAGCTGTAACAAACTTAATTTTGTGGTAGAAAAAGCTAAACTATTTTCCACTTTTTCTCCTATTAAAAATTTAGGAAAAACCCTGGGAACTTTTGCCCAGTTAGTCCTGAAAAGGATGAAATATTAAGTACTAAAGAAACACCATACATGTCTTATACAACTCACTGGACTAATACACCTGTTATAGTAGAATAACTTTCTATTATATGTTCAAATTGTACTGTGATTTGGGGTTGATTGAGAAGGGGTGGTTGGTGTGACGAGCAGCAAGATGAAGATATATTTATACCAACCTCATGCTCAGGGCCAGCTTTACTTATAGAATGACAAATAGATTTGCTTTTTTCTCAGCCGCAGCTCAGAAAGCTTCCTATTGCCTTCGTTGTACATAGTGCACCCAAAGCTTAAGACTTGGGAAATAAAGTATTACCATGAGCCAGCTGCAAAAGCAGTCTGCAAATTCGCTTTACCTCCCATAGGGATGAAAACTGAATTATGTTGTTTGCAAGCCTGTACCTTTCCTAGATCTCCACTAAAAATTCTTATATATTTATTGTTTTGGTAAATCATGATACAAATTTTGAAGCCAAGTAAGTGTTAATAATTAAGTGTTGTCAGGCTAAAAAAACTTCTAATTAATTTTTTTGGTTTTAATTGGTTATGAAATTAAGTTGGTACAAATGATTTTCAGCTGTTTATATTTTTAATCATTGGGTATTTTTTCCTATTTGATTAAAATAAACAAAGGCTTAGGCGATTAGATCCATAGAGATAGGCAAAGAGCAGGAAATTTCTTATTTCTATAAGTAAAGGAGGCCACATGTCAATAAGTAAAGAAAGAGCAGAGTCTTGGTAGAATGGAATGTCCAGTGGCCTAGAGGTACACAGACTCCAAGTTCTCTTCCCCACTCAGCCTCTTATTGACTGTAAGAAGGGGAAACATCTATTTAAACACTGCGCACCTCATTTTCTTTATTTTAAAATGACATTAATTATAATTAACTTTTTTTTTTTTGAGACAGAGTCTTACACTGTCGCCTGGGCTGGAATGCAATGGTGTGATCTCAGCTCACTACAACCTCCACCTCCCGGGTTCAAGCAATTCTCCTGCCTCAGCCTCCCGAGTAGCTGGGAGTACAGGTGCCCGCCACCGTGCCTGGCTAATTTTTTTATACTTTTAGTAGAGATGGAGTTTCACTATATTGGTCAGGCTGGCCTCAAACTCCTGACCTCATGATTTGTCTGCCTCTGCCTCCAAAAGTACTGGGATTACAGGCGTGAGCCACCGCTAAGTACTAGTACCCCTTTTTTTAAAAAAGAATACAGTCTTTAAATTTATTCTTAAAAATTTTTGTCAGTGACTTCAACAAGATTTCCAGGCAAAGGTGAATGCATCATAAAATTAGGTAAAGGCGACATAAAATCTGGAGAATAATAGACACTAGGTTTAGGAACATGGTGAGAGATGACCTTGTAATCATGCATCAGCTTTGATTTCCATGCATTTCTTGGAGAAACAAAATATATAAGATCACTGTTATCACTACAATCTGTGAATTCCTATGGCCAGTAGTAGCCAAAGACAATCTTAAATTTTGTTTGATTTTAAACATCTAGAATTCTTTTTTCTTCTTCTTTTTAACTTTAAGTTCTGGGATACATATGCAGAACGTGCAGGTTTGTTATATAGCTATACATGTGCCATGGTGCTTTGCTGCACCCATCAACCTGTCATCTAGGTTTTAAGCCCCGCATGCATTATGTATTTGTCCTAATGCTCTCCCTCCCTTTGTCCCTGCAGCCCTGGTCAGGCCCCAGTGTATGATGTTCCCCTCCCTGTATCCATGTATTCTCATTGTTCAACTGTAACTTATGAGTGAGAACACATGGTGTTTGGTTTTCTGTTCCTGTGTTAGTTTGCTGAGAATGATGGTTTCCAGCTTCATCCATGTCCCTGAAAAGAATGTAAACTCATTCTTTTTTATGGCTGCATAGTATTCCATGGTACATATGTGCAACATTTTCTTTATCCAGTCTATTAATTATGGGCATTTGGGTTGGTTCCAAGTCTTCGCTATTGTAAATAGTTCTGCAATAAACCTACATGTGCATGTGTCTTTATAGTAGAAAGATTTATAATCCTTTGGGTATATACCTAGTAATGGGATTCCTGGGTCAAATGGTATTTCTGTTTCTAGATCCTTGAGAAATCACCACACTGTCTTCCTCAGTGGTTTAAAGGCTTAAATGTAAAACCTAAAACCATAAAAACTAGAAGAACACCTAGGCAATACGATTCAGGACATAGGCGTGAGCAAAGACTTCATGACTAAAACACCAAAAGCAATTGCAACAAAAGCCCAAATTGGCAAATGGGATCTAATTAAACTAAAGAGCTTCTGCACAGCAAAAGAAACTATCATCAGTGTAAACAGGCAACCTACAGAATGGGAGAAATTTTTGTAATCTACCCATCTGACAAAGGGCTAATATCCAGAATCTACAAGGAACTTAAACAAATTTATAAGAAACAAACAACCCCATCAAAAAGTGGGCAAAGGATATGAACAGACAATTCTCAAAAGAAGACATTGATGTGGCCAACAAACATGAAAAAAAGCTCATCATCACTGGTCATTAGAGAAATGCAAATAAAAACCACAGTGAGATACCATCTCATGCCAGCTAGACTGACAATTATTAAAATGTCAGGAAACCACAGATGCTGGTGAGGCTGTGGAGAAATAAGAACCCTTTTACACTATTAGTGGCAGTGTAAATTAGTTCAAACATTGTAGTACCCATTTTATATTACTCCTTTTACATCTTCATATACTAGCATCATAACTTGAAGAAAGAACTTTTTAATTTATTATTTGATAGAGGAGGAGATAAACTATAGGGACATTGAATAAGATGCCCCAGCAGACAGAGCTTATAAGTAACGGAGTAGGGTTCATACCTCACTCTGCCTGGGCTCTTACATATTTACCATGCTGCCTTTAGGCATGATTATAATACCTGCCTTGGGAAAATGCACACAGTGAATATGAAAACAAATTAAGTTCATTTCATGAAGTAAATTGAAAGCTGCAAGTCATTTTTGAAAACAAGGCATCATTTACACAATTATTTATTAAGCATAAAATACAGCTGACTGCTATGTTGAGGGATGCTGTAAAAATAAAATGTCCTATTTGGTTCTAGTCCTGAAGGATTCTAAATTACATTATAATATATATAGTATATTATATTAGAGTGGAGCGTATAATTATTATATAGTAAAAATTACCTAATACAGGGAGTCATTTTTCTTTGGTAATCAAACAGAATTCTACTCTGGTATCTCATGCCAAATCAGTTGATTGGAAGTCACAAGACAGCTTACATATTCGTATAAAAAGCAGGAAAAAAAAACCCATGAATCTCCTAACAGGGGGCAGAACAAGCTCTGATAGTCTAGGTGGGGAAACTAATGGTTGTGCTCTCCGCAGCATTAGTCTGGTGGGCCGATCAACTCTAACATTCTGTCTTTGGGTCACTCTTCTGAATAATTACATACCTAGGAAAGAGTCTTGCTAGCCTAGTTTGACTGTATGCTGACCCCTTGATCAAGGCAAGGCAAGCCATAAGCATCCCACTGAGACCTCATGCAATGCCAGAAAACCAAGGTGCTATTACCAGTAAAAAGGAAAATGATTGATTAGCAAGAAAAGCAAAAGTGATCACTCTAACAAGTAAATAAATGCTATGGTCTGAATGTTTGTGTCACTAAAATTCATATGTTAAAACTCTCACCCCTAAGGTGATGATATTAGAAGTTGAGGTCTTTGAGGGAGATGAAGAGTGGGTCATGAGGATGAAGGCCTCATGAATGGGATTAGTGCATTTGTAAAGGTGCCCAGGGGAGTTCATGCATCCTTTCCACCATGTGAGGCCACACATAGAAGATGCCATCTGTGAACTAGAAAGAGTGCCTTCACTAGACATCAAATATGTCATTGTCTTGACTTCTGACTTCTCAGCCTCCAGTACTGTAAGAAATAAATTTCTTATGTTAATCAGCTCCTTAGTCTGTGGTCTTTTGTTATAGCCGACCAAATGGACTAGGACAATCAAAGATCATAATGGAAAGATTTGGATGAAGATTTCAGGAGAGATGTAATTCTTGAAGGACAGAAAGGTTTTCAACAGTTGAGTGCAGAAAATTCTTGCAGAAGGGTAAGAAATTTTGCGTAGTAATTAGTGTCATATCAAGGATTATGGACTACTACTTCATTAATAATAAAGACAGATAGTAAGTATTTGCCTCATGTAGTTTTAGGTTTGTTTTGTTTTATTTTGCTTTATTTTTAAATTACTGACAATCCTTTTGGGTCCATGTGTAAATAGTCCTCACTGCATACATTGAAAGGGTCTGAAGACATCTTAAAATTTGTTATAGCTTTGTGATTTATCATCATTAGTTTATTCAATGAGATGTTTGATTTCTTAGCAGAATTCTAAGATGTAGATATTCTCATGAGGCAAAAAATAAAAAAAAATGAAAGGTTAAATTCCTGAAAAATCAGGTAAGATGATAAATGAAGATACTTTACTTTCTTACATTGTAATTTATGTCATTTAACTTTACCCTCATTTCATCATTCTTTGGAACCAGCATAATAGTCAAATCAGTTCCTCTTAATGTCAGATGATCTAGTTGCCATCACATTTTGGAAGTGAATTGAGTTGAGAAAATATACCTCTTAAACAATTATGCAAGTTAACATTTCAAAACACAGGTTTGTATAACATTTCAAAACACATAGCTAATGCTATGGCATTAGATTACAACATAGAATAACAGTTGTTCGTGACTTTTGATAAAAGAATCAGAAGTATATACTTAAATTACAGATTTGGAAGATATTCTTGAAAGATAATAACATTGACACATAAGATTGGCAAAAAGAAGATTTTTTGATAAGTATAGGTCCTTCACTGATCACCTCCCCAAGGGCCTTCCAGACATATCAATTACAAGTTTACTAAATACCTCATCAGGATTCTGAGGTATTATATACCTCCTAACAGCCTTTACGACAATAATTCCTTTCCTCCTGACTTCCATATTTTAGGATACATTTTCTGGAAAACCTCTGTGATTACCTGTTGCCTAGGAAGTAAGTTCAAAATTCTCAGCAAGAAAATAAAAGGAAGGAATGCTACTCTGAATGTTTTACCATTCCATGAATAAGCTAAGACCTTTGATAATGCTATTATTTATTTACAGTTATTGTGCTTCAAATCTTCTTTATTTGGAAAAGCCAGGTGTCCAGTAAGAGTTTTCTTAATGAATGAATATCCAAATAAGAATTATAATAAACTTTTAAATTTATGATGATAATATTAATCACTTGCTTTTATGGAGCACTTTCTGTGCAAGCAGAATCAATCCTAAGAAGTTACTATGTAGCATCTCAATTATTTCTCATAAAGTAGGAAGTAGATATGAGTATTAGTTTCATTTTACAAATAATGGAATTGAGAGGTGAAGGAGAATCTAAATGGTCACACCACTAGTACACAGCGGACCAGGATACAAATCTAGAGCTCCTACAAGGACTCAGAAGCAAGACTGCTTATGATTAAATCCACAGTGCTTCATAACAGCTGTTCTATTACCTGCTAATTCCTATGGAAGCCAAACCTATAGGCATTCACAAAAACGCACAACTAATTAAATATCTCAGTGAAGCAAATAAGTAAAAAATAGATATATGAATCCACCCATTCATTAACAAATATGCATCATGTACCTAATTCACTCCAGAAGCTGTGCCCAGTATTTGTGATATAACAGCAAACAAAATAGACCTTGACCTCATCTTCATGAAGTTTACTTTCTCAATCTTGTGTGATTATGATATGAGATAAACAAGATGCATTTTCAACTCGACCCAAAGTTTAGGCCACACAATAGGGGGAAATCACAAGTCACGCCTAATCATGAGGCTTGGTGGATGAGGTAACTCCTCTGAAAAGGGCAAGCCAAATTCAAGCCCAAGGTCTACAGGGAATTTATTTACCAGCAAGAGTCCTTTGCCAAAAAGGAAAAATATAACATACCATGAAGCAGTTTCCCAGGGAAATGGAAGCAAGACCACCAAATACTCTATTGATAAAGTTTAGGGGCATATTAAAAAAGGAAACTCTCTAATTGCAAAACTATAGTCAGACCACAAAAGCTCCTGTATCAGCAATGTCACTTTGATGATGTATCTGAGAGCAATGAGGCTTAAAAGCCTGAATTCTAGCACTTATGGTATGAGACTGCTTTTAATTCTTGCCCAGAATCTGTTTTCTTTTAAAAACAATGTTTCCCTAAGGCCTTCATCAAAGGCATGAGGTATGTGCTACTCCAGAGTATCTGTTCCCCAGGGAATAGTTAATGGGGTTGCACAGTGTGAGCCATGACCTCCTCATCTCTGCACTTTGGGGAATTCATTTTCAACTTGGATTCTAAGCTGGAAGTGATTCTTTCCACTAAAACAGGTTTTAGAAAACCTCTATCATAGCACACAGCATGCAGAAAAAAGCTAATCTCCAGAAGAGGCTGTAGATATAGGATGCTCACTTTGGGGATAGACAAAGAGAAAGTTACAGTGTGAAGCATCCGTTTTTGCATTTAGCAAAGCAAACACCAAGTTTTGTGGACAGCTGCAAGAATTCTGAAACTAGAGGGCATGACAGGAAAGCAGGCAAGGGATAAGAACCACTGGTGGAAGTGATTAATCCTTAGGTCCTCTAAGTATAGGAATCCAGTATAAAGCAAAATGATTCCATTAGCCATACTACTTAGAAGTTGTCATCAGTGGAGGATACCTAGAGATGACTACCACAACATATTATATATGCCTGTGTATCATAGACTACATATAATTTTCAACATAGCCTGTCATTTCCAACAAATCCTTTAATCCTCTTCAAAAAGATGCAAGTTTAAAACCCCTAGAACCAGGGGGAATTATTTGTCTATTATAATCAGGATTTTGATGGTTGGAGTGGGCAGAAAAGAACATCGCTAACATAATTCTTTTATAATGAGTCATAGTTCTCTCTGAGTGTATAGAGCAAGCTAATGGAGTATTCACTTCAATGCATTACCTTCTGTGTCTGTACTATAGATAAGGCATTGTGCATGTTTATTTATGTGAGAAACATGAAGATAAATAAAAGTTCCTTCCCTCTAAGCCTTTACTATCTTGCAGGAAGTTAGGAAAAGTTTCACAAAAACAATACAAGACTGAATTAATTTACATAGCTTTCTTGGGTGTAATATTTATGCTTCAATATTCTGATTACTTAGACATCAATGTGGTAGGCTATGTTCTGCCATACTGAAAAAAAAATTAATCACCAACCAATTAAAACAGTGATAAGTTTCATACTCCTTAGAGCTGGGTTTATGAATTTTTGATAATATTATCACCTATCTGACAGATATATTTTTCCTTTAGCAACTTGGGTAACATAACTCTTTTTGTTTTTTTCTCATTCTGTCTCCTTGATATAAACATGCTAGGAGAAGTAGAAAGAAAATAATATGAAACAATAAATTTTCTCCTCTTAAATAATCTGGAAAAACATTGTGGAAGTTTTGGGTTTATAAGAGGACTAGTTAGTGGGAATACTAGTTTTGCAATAGGGCTTTGGTGGAAGTGAAAAATACTCCACATAAGCAAAAGCTCCGAAGTTAGAAAATGAATCATATTGGCAAATAGGTCACATCATTATCCTGGATAAGCGGAAAATAGGAGGAAGTGAAAAATATCTAAATGACTTTGTCCATGGTAGAGACATTTAAGCAACAAAATACAACATTGCTAGGTCAGGTAGCTGCCTCATAGGTACCAGAAGTACCTATTTAATACAATACCCTGCAGCACCATTGATATTTATGAACTCATTTGAGTAAAAGTAAGTAGATATTTCTTCTAAACATGACTTTTTAATTTTTGTTTTGCTCTATGAGGCCACCTATGAACACATGAAAAAGAAATTATCTAGAATCATTTTCTAATTTTGCCTGCATGAAAAGAAGTACATTGGCAAGTAGTTTGAGTTCTCAATTTAAACTAGTGAGGAACACATACCGAATGAAATTTTAATTTTTAGTATCGGTCTTCTTTAAATAACCTAAGGAATTTGTTGTAATAAAAATGAGATGTGCTTATTTGATTTTTGGCTGACCATTCTCTGACAGGTACAAGGAGGGGGACTTGGCTTGATGCAGAAGCTAGAACCTAGGAAACAGAGAGGAGAGCTAAGATCAGTCCTTAAAAGGCCTCTTGGATGTTTCTATTACTTAAAGGTGTTCTTATCTTGAAAAAGTCTTTTCATACACAAAATTGGGAATTAGTTATGAGTCATAACAATATAACATGACAGAAAACTGCTGTATTAGTTCTTTCTTACGTTGCTATAAAGAAATACTCAGGTCTGAGTAATTTATAAAGAAAAGGGATTTAATTGACTCACAGTTCTGCATGATTTGGGGGGACTCAGGAAACTTACAGTCGTGGTGGAAGGCACCTCTTCACAGGGGCAGCGGGAAAGAGAATGAGTGCAAGCAGGGGAAACACCAGACGCTTATAAAACCATCAGATCTGAGAACTCACTCACTATCACAAGAACGGCATAGGGGAAACTGCATCCATGATCTGATTACCTCTACCTGGTCCTGCCCTTGACATGTGGAGATTATGGGGATTACAATTCAAGGTGAGATTTGAGTGGGGATACAGAGCCAAACCATATAAACTGGGAAATCAGAGAACCTGGATTATGATCTCTTAAGATAAGTTTCCTATGGAAATGTCAGCAATATTATGATCATTCTAGTTTTTTGTTTCTTCATGAATATAAATACTATATGCATATTGCATATGACTTGTATGAGTCATTTCATTTATATTGCACATTAATTCTTTAAGGTAAGTATTTTTCTCCCTATTTTAAGAATAAGAAAACTAAGGTTCAGGAAACTCACTCAGCCAGTCAGTGGACAACCCAAGTTTCTACTTTAAATCTTTACTGAGTTGTCATTTAATACATCAAAAAAAAGTTTTTTGCATAGTAAGTTACAGAGAGATTTTAAAAAACATTTGTAACAATTAAATGCACCATATAGGAAATAAAAACAAATAAAAACAGAAGCATTCTGATAAAAATGAATAATTGGGAAGATCATTTTGGAGAATTCAAATAAAATTCCCACAGAAGTATCAGGATTGTTTAACATCATTTAGTCTGTAACCATATTTGATGGTCTGAATGGAGTACATTAGGCAGTACAAAATGACTGTACATGTATGTCTAAGTCAGATGCTTATTCAAATTAACATTACCTTTCAATGCCAGGATGTCAGCATTGTAATGATAATAGTTATCTCTACAAAAGAGATGTCAAAATACTTTTGCTGTTTGTTACTTCTAAGTGAAAATAGAAAATAGAGGTAGCAATTGAAAATGAATCAATAGTATACATGATTATGAATCTAGCTAATCTCTTAATTCAAATAAGAATATTATCAGCCTGTCATTGCAAATGTGTCACTTACATTCACATTAATGTAAGAATCACATTAATGATTCTACATTCATATTTCCCTTAACAGTAGTAAGACAGTTCTGGCTTCATCCCATTATATCATTAAATGGACTGTTTATAACTGCATAGCTTTCTACTCGGCTTAGGTGAAATTAGTAATAATGAGAAAGAATAATAACTTAAATGCTTCTTGGGGATTCTAGAGGAAAAGTTGTGAGAATTAGCCAGTTCAACACACATTTTAGTGTCTAAATTTATACTTCTGGTCCAAGTTCAATAATCTATAATATTGATAAATCAGATAAAATTTCAGACTTCCTGAAGTGACCTATCCCAAAAAAAGCAGATAATTTAGTCAAGAATTTTTCTTCTGCTGCTTAAGAAATTTGTGGAGATTTTATGATTCCCTTCATTCAGCCTGTCATTTTCTGGTTAGTTAATCATAAATAGTTAGTGATGGCTTGTTGATTAATTAACAGGAAAAATGAAAGCCATTAATGTTTTTTAAACCCAAGAGGATAAGATTTTTTCCAAGCTCAAAGTATTCTTCATATTGCAGTCTTATTCTTGTTGTATCATCATCTAACCCCAAAGGCTCCAAAACCCAGCTGTATACAATGGTTCGGTAACTAAGGAAAACATTTTTGTATTTGAACATGATTTCCTATTCATCTCAGTCAACTGACAGTAATTACAGCAACACTGGAAATTTCTTTACCCTGGGGACATGAGTGTTGAGCACCTACCTCCTTGTAACTGATTTCCATCAGTTTCAAACGCTACTAGCATTCATCCCATACACACTTATTGATCACTCTGTGTTCTAGGTACTTTTAGGCTCATGGGATGCATCATGGTACAAAGAAAGACAGAAAAAAAGCAAGGAGATTTGAGGTGAAGCCAAATATTCCAAGCGTGTATGTATACTTGCAAAGAAAGAAAGGTTCTCTGCTCTCATTCAAGTGGCTGGGAGAAAGTTTAGATATATAATGCTAAATTATATGGTATACCAGAAGGTGTTAAGTCATATGGAACATAAAATTTTTTAGACAACTTTATTCTGTTTTGTTTGTTCAGCAGAAAATTACATATTTTAAATGTAAGAACAGTTACTTTATTATTTTTTTCTTGCTAAGATCACGGAGCAGTTCTAAGTGGCTACTAAGTACTCCAGCAATACAAGTTTCATTAAATAGAAACAAGAATATGAATTTTTACAAAGCAGAATACTCTATCAGAAAGTCAGATATTCTTTTTGGAATTTATACAAATGTGTTTTAACAATATGGCATCAATGTCTGGGCCAAATGTCTGGATTCAATATGGCTTTGAAAAATGGAATAGAGGAAGCATCATACTTTTAGCAATTTCCTTAAGATTTGTCAATAGACACTGTTGTTAGAGAAGATATGGAATGTATGTGATCACTTATGAATCATGAATAAAAACAAAATTCCCAATTTTATTTTGCATCCTGAGTTGCAGTGGTACAACTGAAAACTAGAAAAGCAATGTCTTTAAGGAGCTAAATTTATGGACAAGGATGGAACTTTTTTAGACAGTTGATTAGCGGAAGATAGACTTTATGAATGCACAGGTTTCCATATTTCACACAACACCTAGATGAGCAGTTGCCTTCATCATTTGGTTTTTAAAACAGAGGCTAAGATATTTTTAAGTATTTTACATGTATTTCTATGTCAAAAGCAGATTTAAGGAAAACATATATTCTCCAACAAAAATAGGTGTAAAGGCAACAGAATATATGTCCAATTGGGAAGTGTGATACCAAACTGCAATTAATGCTGAGTGAGCCACTTTCTATTTCTGATTTCTCCACTTGGTACCCAGCACTACCTCTATAACTAGTATTACTTAAAACAGAAACAATAATTTTAAGGCTACAAGGTGAAGGAACGTTCAAGTAAGTTTTTTGCCTACTCCAATTCTTACAGATACATGAAGAAATGCACAACTAATACAGATATTGTCCAAATAGATGAATCCTAAACTTTCAAAATTAGATCCACTTTAGTAGTGCACACCCAGATGTCATTTCTATATTCCCAAAAATCCTAGGATCTTAGCATCTAAAAAAGAATAATAAGCAAAAATATTTGTAATGCCTCAGCTAAAATTATAAATAAAATATGGAGCCTTTGCAATATGAGTGTCATCTCTTTATTTGAAATTCTAAGCACTTACTATCTATAGTACACCATGAAACTAAGTTAGAAAGATATATAATTATTTAAATACTATTTCATTTCTGTGAATTTTAATTCTTTCTTTTGGAACATTGAATTCTGGAACTGAAGTGGTTATTTTTTAAGTAAAATATACAAATATCAGATAAAATATTTACAATTCAGCTGACCATCAGTGAGTAGTTGATGCCACCTATACCCAGGAGCTAGAGTTCTCATAGGAAATGTAAAGAACAGATTTGGGATCAGAGATTTAGAGTTTAGATCAGAGATTTAGAGACTGGTTAAGCAACACCCCTTTCTAAATTAATTGTAAAACTTATCTGTGAAATAAATGTGCATAGAATTATTGTAAAAGTTAAATGAAATACCATATAATGACCTTTTGAAAATTGTAAAATGCTCAATGGAGATTATGCATAGTATCCACAGGTTTGGCATCCTGTAAATACTGTATTTTCTATCTGAGTTTTGTGGCAGATGTGAAACCCATGGAAACAAAAGGTCAACTTTATTTATTGAAAAAAAAAAAAAACCTTCCTATAAGCAGACCCATATAGTTCAAACATGTTCTGTGAAGGGTCACCTGTACAACCCAGTGAATCCTAATGTAAATTCGGAACTTTAATTAAGAGTAATGTGTTAACATTCATTCATAAATTGTAATAAATGCATCACATAATGGAAACTGTCAACAACAGAGGAATCTGGGTGGTGGGGCGGGAGTGAGAAGACAGGGGACATAGAACTCTGTAATTTCTGCTTAGTTTTTCTGTAAACCTAAAACATCTCTTAAAAAAATTAAGATACCTTTAAATGTTGCAGGCAAGAGTAGCTTAAGGAGATGTAAAAACTATAAATAAATGTAATGTGTTATCCTGATGGGATCCTGGAACAGAAAAAGGAAATTAGGGAAAAACTGAAAAAAAATAAAGTATGTACTTCAGCTAATAATAATGTACCAATATTGGTTCGTTAATTGTGACAACTGTACCATACTAACATATAATGCAATAAGTATTCGGTATATGGGAACCGTACTATTTTTGAGATTTTTCTGTAATAAACAATGTATTGAAGAAAAAGATATACTGATTATATACTTTAAACCAGAAACAATACTAGAAACATAAAAAGGTATATGCCAGATCTCACACATTAAAGTTATTGAAGGCATATGTACAAATAAAAATATTTTATTAGAATTAGGTTAAATTTTAATTAAAAAGCAGTGTAGTACAAGATTCAAATAATCCATATGTAGAATGTGTATGTCATCAGAGCACCATGAAAATTTTTGGTTTGTAATATAAGCACATTATTTGTTAAGTATAAATACTCCATTTAATTTTGTGCCTAAGTCTGTTAATTTCATTTGTATTAAATTTTATATAAGTAACAAGTTGTTCATATTATCTGTTTTGATATTATTGAGATTTCGCTTTTCTCTTGTGGCTAGAGGTATGCATTGCCTGCAAATGTGAATAACAACTGATATTTCCAGGAATGTCACATTTTAGCAGCCAGGTTTTTCTGAATATACAATGTGTATTCCTATATCACATGCTGTGTCCACATACCCTTTATGTTATTAAAAAATAGTTCTTCAAAATATTTATTTGCCTTTGCTTTACTTTCAGTGGTAAAATATTTGAGAATAGTTTTTCTTGGCTCAGTTAATGTGGCATTTGTTCTCTTCACCCCATAACTCATTCGTCATGCAAAAGAGGAGTCTTGCTCCTGCAGTGGTATTGATCCACAAGGCCCTTTTGGTTAGGAGTAAAGCCTCTTTAATTACTTTGGCTGACTTTCATTTTTTACAAAGTCTTAGGCACATTAGCTATCATGTTGTATTATTCTCATTTGTCTTAAATAAGTGCACCATGGTCTCGAGAGATTGATCGACTGTCTATAGTCTTGAGAAACCAGGGCCTACACCAGTCTATACTCATTCTGCTTAGCTTAGAAATCCGAAAGAGCTATCTCTCATCTTCTCCCAGGGTTTGATAACCTCTTCTCTTTACTTCGCCAGAGGTGTTTTGACCTTTAATTAAAAGGAAAATTTGTTGTCTTCCTCTCAGAAGACAGCAAATAATGAACTCATTAAAATGAGGTTAGTGTTCAGGCCTTAGAGCAATAAGAGTTGAAGTCTCATTAGCAGCTAACAATGCAGAACACAGCACATAAATAAACCTAATATGGCACAGCGAAATGCCTCGGTGCGTTAAATTTGAGCAGAATCAAATGTTTACTGTCAATGATGTCTGGGGCATAAAGTTTTAATGCACTTAATAAAGAAAAGCAAATTGCTTCCTATTAGCCATGAAATGTTACCACAGAAATTGTCCCAAAAAGTGTATTATGTAAATGTGTGATGTGTTAGTTATTAACAAAGATATTGTAGAAATATATCTGTCTTGCTTGATACATGCAACAATTAGGAAGAATAAAGATCACTCAAAAATTTCTAAACGTAATTCTAGTGATTAATGTAAAATAATGTGGGATGTAAGATTTTTTTAAGTGACTTTATCTCACTGCTGGCCCAAGATAAGAGATATTTGCAATGTCAAACTAAAGAATCAGTTAATAAAACATCCTTGTAGTTTATAAAATATCTTTTGGTCAAGGGATTCCTTAAGAGCTTATTTAAAAGAGCTACTATACTTCATTTATACAATACAAAGAATGTTGTATCCATAAATTTGAATACTTTGTGAATTTTTATAATATTAAATGAGCTATAGTTAGTAAAATAATAATTAGGAGTTTTATTTTAATAATTCAGTGAATGGAATAAAAGTGCTAGTAATAATGTGTTTTTTATTCTTCATTGTTTTAGATTCCTTATGTAAAATTAGAAATTTGTTTCAATTTGATATTTCCTCCACAATGAACCTGTATCTACTATGCTTCTTAAATTTTAAAAGAATTAGGATAGTTATTTTGCTTGATTACTCATTCTATCATCTTTTCTTCAAAATATTGGAACAAAATTGCTTCTATTCCCCACTTCTTGAGCTCTCATGAAAACGCAGACATAAAAAAAAATGGAAGTGTCAAAAATGTCATAGATTAAGAACACCTGATTTATGCCGATGAAGTCAACTCACTAAAGGCTAGACAGGGATTTTGAAGAGACACTTCTCTACTGAAGAATAAAGGTAGCTGGTACTTTGCAAACAGTGTTCATCTGATACATAAAGCCTGGGAACAAATCAGAAGTCATCATATGCTACATTCAATTCTTTCACAACCTGCATTTAATGTATCATTTGATATTAAGAGTTCTAGAAACTTTATCTTCAAACTACGTCCCAAATCTGACCACTTTCTTCCTGCTTTACTACAAACTCCAGGACCCTCATTTCTCAATTGGCTAACCTGTTTTTCTCCTCTACATGTTTTCCTATTTCATTCTTCTCCAGCTCTGACCCAGGCAATTCTTCATACAGTGGCCAAATATTTAAGGTATAAATCATGAATATTATGTATCTGCTCAAAACTCTCCAATGGCTTCCCACAGGTTCAACTGCAATGTATTAGTAATTTCTTTGTTTATTGTTTGTGTCACTGAAATACAAACTCCTAACCAAAGGACTGTTTGTTTCATTCAAAACTGAATCTCCAGTCCCTACAACAGCTGGACTATATTAGCTGCTTAAATATTTCTTGAATAGGTAAGCATGGCAACATAGTTCACTTAAAGTTAAATTACACCAAAATGTCTTTATTAAAGAAATAATGTCAAAGGTAGATAATGTCAGTCACAGAACTCCAAAGGATACCATTCATACAGAAAATAATTATACTGTTTCTGTCTCTTGTTGGGAAATGAGAGCTGTACTGGAAAATGTTACCATTCATGCATTTTTGGTATTGCTGTTCTCTTTCATGAGTGTCTCACTAGCTTCCCTTCATCTACAGAAAATCACTTGGTAGACTAGCAGGTGTTTATTAGATTATGTCACCTACTTTGTTATAAATGTGCATCATAATTAGACTTTAAATAGGGCTGAGTCAAGGAGGTGACAACAAGATATCACAGGAGTTTTTGTTTTTGAAACTCTTAAGTTTTTGTCAGAGGGAGAGACTTTCCACAAG
This sequence comes from Homo sapiens, assembly GCF_000001405.40. Classification (NCBI taxonomy): domain Eukaryota; kingdom Metazoa; phylum Chordata; class Mammalia; order Primates; family Hominidae; genus Homo; species Homo sapiens. The sequence continues at coordinate 114,988,976 of NC_000004.12, read as the reverse complement.
AAAAAGATTTATCTGCCAAGTAAAGAAAAATCCATCTTAAAATATTTTGCTATACTATGGATTTTAGTATATATGTTTTTCTTCTAGTTTCTATAACCAATTATGGTCCTATATGAATAATAATGGTTTTCATATTTATAACAAAATCTAAAATTAGTTATATTTATCCTACTGGCGGTGCACTGAGAAAATTCTACTACATTTGAGCTTAAAAAATAAATAAGCCTTAATGCCTCAAATGTATATAAACTGACTCATAATTTGATATTCAGCCTTTGAAAGTGGTTTTGGGGGTACACATTTAAAGACGTATGTAGGCCGGGCATGGTGGCTCACACCTGTAATCCCAGCACTTTGGGAGGCCAAGGTGGGTGGATCACAAGGTCAGGAGATTGAGACCATCCTGGCTAACACAGTGAAACCCCATCTCTACTAAAAATACAAAAAATTAGCCAGGCGTGGTGGCGGGCGCCTGTAGTCCCAGCTACTTGGGAGGCTGAGGCAGGAGGATGGCATGAACCCGGGAGGTGGAGCTTGAAGTGAGCCAAGATTGCGCCACTGCACTCCAGCCTGGGCTACAGATCGAGACTCTGTCTCAAAAAAAAAAAAAAAAAAAAAAAAAAAGATATGTGTATCTGTGTGCTTACAAAATACTCAACCACGTATCATATGAAAATTTTCAAAAAGTTTATAAAATTGATCATGAAAATTTGAATTAATCCACATTTCATTAACAACTTAAAAGTTGTTTTCATTAACTTAATAGTTGTTTTTCATGATTTCTCAGCAAGAATAAGATGCTTTAAGAAATATACTATAATATTTATCAAAATTATAATTGTTAATTCTAAATATATTTTCAGAATTCCATAATATGAAGGAATTTATCTTTATTTGAAGCTCCTTAACAATAGCAAATCCTGGAATAATGGAAAAACACTCCTTTGTACAGATCACTTGCAGAGAGTTAATGTGATTATTTGACTGCATGCATATTCAGAATCACATTTCATGTAAAATCACAGCTATTACATTTTTCATTTGCATTGCATAATAAGTAGGAAACTATATTCAATAGAGGAGATCATGACCCCAAAAGACACCTCACTTTCCCATGATCAGACATTCACTTAATGTTTTTTCCTAAATAAGCAAACCATAAACTTAAGCAAGTGGAGGTGGGTGTTTCTGGCTGATTATTTGAGGTAAAAGATAAGATACATTAAGTGCAAGATTTTTCCTATCAAAGGACTTCAGTATGTTAATGTGGGTTGAGACCTTCTCTAGTGGTGTATGATACAGTGTGTTTCCTAAACATTTTGAAGATACAATTATTTTTTCACAGACATTTAATTTTATAGACCCAAATTTATAGTGACCCATGGATCATAGTTTGGTTTACCACTTGTCTGTGGTAAAGATTTCTGTTTCACTACTTATCTCTTCCTACACAGTGAAATTTTCTATAATCACTTGAAGAAGAAGGTAGCTCAAACATCCACATTCTGCAGATCTTAAGCCATTTCTGACAGTGGTAACCAAATCTGTACCTGCTCTGGAGCTTCCACATGCAATGCAAAGTATCTCCATCAAGCTGGCCTTCCAACACAAAAGCCAGGATTTTGCAGAGGGATTCAAGTTACATTTTAAAGTTGCAACAAATGCAAAGAGAACTTGGACCCAGTTCTCAGATCCTTTCTGAGAATTCTTGGGGATATTTTGTGTTATAAACTCCTTGTCTCCCACTCTGACCCAAAAAAGATTTTGACTTGATTATTTTGTTTATGTCGTATATGTATATGTATGTTATTCTTGGCTATTTGATTTCATATTATTCCTAAAGCCATTTTTAAGTCATTGAGGTTAAAATGACTAAAAGATTCATTCCGCTATTTTCAAAGAAATCCTAACTAGCTTGAGTTCTACGTCACTATTACTCTATGACATATTTAAATACTTTGCCTTTAGGAAATATGAGTTATTTTTGTGATTATCTTATAAGAAGCTTTTAAGGAAATAATTATGCCACACAAACAATGACCTCTGAAGTTAAAATATATATTTATCTTTTTACAAGACAAAAAAATTTTATAAGTTATAATGGAGACTTGAGAGCAAGAGCTTATAGGAATAGTATATTAAAATATATATATATATATATATATATATATATATATATATATGTATAATTGGATACCAGGCTTAGAGGAACTAAATTATAAACAAAAATGCCAGTGCCCTAACTGATACCATTTGAAGGGTCATAATGAGATCACATTTTATTCAAATATACTAACTTGATTCAAAATTTCAATCAATTCAGTAGAGCATGGGAAACAGAAACCAGAGGAAGAGAGTGCAGGACGCAGACATAGTTTGAGATGATCTTTATGAACTGAAATAAGATACAATTGAAAGAGAGATTAGGACTTATAAGAACTGAACAGTATTTCAGCATTCTTAAGGAAATTTTCTGATCTCAGGGAGAGAACCAGAATGCCAATCAGAAAACAGAAGCAGAAGCTCGTCTTACACACTTTCAGAGTGGACTAAAATCAGTGGCTTATAGTTCTGTGGAAAGGAGATGACCAGGACACCCTCCAGTAACAACGTTTAGGGCACGAGACACATCCACTCACATCTACTAGGAAAGGAGTCAAAGACACGTGGAGTGTTTGGCTGATGCAATGAAATAAAATTTACAACACAATGAACACACTGCAGTTTAATGATTTATATAACCTTCATTGTGTTCTTTGATAATCAGGCAGAAAATGCAAACTCTTCACATATGTGACATGATTTAATATTATTTTATAAGGTCAAACCAATTTTTAATTTTTTTCTTCTCTTTGCCAGTATGTTTAATCAGTATCAACGTTTAAACTTCCAGTATTCAAAAAATACTCCTAATGCAATGAAACCATTATCCTTACCGGTATATATACATTTTGTGTGCAGTTAGTTCCTGAAACTTACCCTCCAATCCTGTGTAACAAAGTTTTGAAATTAACGACGCTAAGTTCTTTCCTGACCCTAAGATCTGTTCTCACTGGCCCCATTGTTTGGAGCAGACTCCCCAGGTCCCATTTTAGGCATAACTGGTCTGTTATTTTCCATGCCTCAACAAAATGGCCTGCCACTTTTCCAGGGTGGACTTTATTGATCTCATTGTCTACCTTGTTGAAACGTAGATACTGATACTTTGTGTTTCTTTCAATAATAGCATGGTACTAAAATTAACTTTGCAACACTAGTAACAATTTGTAATTAAAAAATTATTTGATTGATTTGTTATGTGTATCCTCTGTGTGTCTAAAAAGAATGTAGGTTCCATCAAAAACCAGAAAACTTACCAGTTTTGTTTATCAGGTACTTTCTAACTCCATACCTAGCATAATTTATGTAGCCTCTCCGTGCATTATTTTCTCCACTTGTAAGACAGGATTAATAAAAAGGTCACTGGAAGATTTAAATAAATAATTAGAGTGTTGCTCATCACCTAACACATAGTAAAAGCTTGATAATATTAGATATTATTTTTGCCATTCTCCACTCTATCCTGAGTACCTAAAACATACAGTCCAATTAATATTGTTTGAATGAATGAATGAAGAGTGGCAAAAGGAGGGAAGAGTGCCCAAAGAGAGTGAGCTTTTAGATTCCTGTCTTCCTGGAGACAGACCAAAAAAGAAAAATGGCAACGAAATACTTAACTGGTGGGTGAAAAGAGGAAAGGAAAAATTGCTCTGAAATGTCAAGGTGTTCTTTGGCTCACTAGGTTTTTTTTCAGATTGAGTGTGATTTCAGAAGTAGGATCCCTACAGTTCAAACTTTCTCCCCATAAATACCCTTGTACTTGTTCAGTATTGTCATCAGAAGCATTCACTCATTTTTAATTAATTAACTTATCCATTTCACAATCTGAGCTAAACCATTTAACATGATATTACGTAGAAAACTTGGTATAAGTTTTTTGTTAATGTATACATTATAGCAAATTCCTCCTTGAGTAGCAGTAACAGTTTATCAGAAAGAAATGAGATCAAGATGAGTAAGAAGAAAGGTAGAGCTATAAAATGCAAATTTTAAAAGCTTCATATTTTCATCCTGGGTCAGCCCTATTCATCTTCAATTGTAAATTTACAAATAGTATCGAAGCAAAAGTTTATGGAATCCCAACTCCATTTTACTGAGGTAGGCACACAAACTTGCTATATTGGAATATAAGGTTACTAAGGTTAGACTGAGTTTTAAGGCAGGCATGGTCAATTTTGGTCTTCTTCTTGTGTTATCTGGGTGGACTATTTAATCTTTCCATAAAGCAATATTTTTTACCTGGAAAATATAAATATAAGTTATCTCTTCTGATTCCCATATCATAATCTACTTAGGATAAATAAGACACCTTTTTATTGAGCTATTAAGTATGATAAAAGACCATATAAAACAAACACTATCACTCTGAGGTAGCTGTTTTGAAATTTTGAAAATATAAGACTGTATTAGGCCTGGCGCCGTTGCTCATGCCTGTAATCCCAGCACTTTGGGATGGGTGGATCACAAGGTCAGGAGTTCGAGATCAGCCTGGCCAATATGGTGAAAGCCCATCTCTACTAAAAATACAAAAATTATCCTGGCATGGTGGTGGGTGCCTGTAGTCCCATCTACTCAGGAGGCTGAGGCAGGAGAATCAGTTGAACTTGGGAGGTGGAGGTTGCAGTGACCTGAGGTCATGCCACTGTACTCCAGCCTGGGTGACTCCATCAGCCAGAGTGAGACTCCATCTCAATAAATAAATAAATAAATAAATAAATAAATAAATAAATAAATAGTATTAGTTTGTTCACACTGCTATAAAGACATATCCAAGACTCAATAATGTAGAAAGAAAGAAGTTTAATTCACTCACAGTTCTACATGGCTGGGAAGACCTCATGAAACTTAAAATCATGGTGGAAAGCAAAGGGGAAGCAAGGCACATCTTACTTGGCAGGAGGAGGAAGAAATAAAGAGTGCAAGGGGAAAGTGCCACACACTTTTAAACAACCAGATCTTGTGAGAACTCTGTCACAAGACTGCACTTGGGGGATAGTGCGAAACCATTAGAAACCACCCTCATGATCCAATCTCCTTCAACCATGCCCCACATTCCACATGTGGGGATTACAATTTGACATGAGATTTGGGTGGGGACACAGAGCCCAACCATATCATTCTGCCCCTGGCCCCTCCCAAATCTCATATCCTTCTCACATTTCAAAATACAGTCATGCCTTTCCAACAGTCTCCCTCAGTCTTAACTCATTCCAGCATTAACCCAAAAGTCTAAGTCTAAATTCTCATCTGAGACAAAGTAAGTTCCTTCTGCCTATGAGGCTGTAAAATCAAAAACAAGCTAGTTACTTCCAAGATACAATGCAGGTAAAGGCATTTGGTAAATGCTCCCATTCCAAATAGAAGAATTTGGCCAAAAAAAAGGGGCTACAGGCCCTGTGCAAGTCTGAAACCCAGCAGGGCAGTCATTAAATCTAAAAACTCCAAAATAATCTTCTTTGAGTTCAGGTCTCACATCCAGGACACGCTGATTCAAGGGGTGGACTCCCAAGGCCCTGGGCAACTCTGCCCTGTGGTTTTGAAGGGTACAGCCCCCATGGCTGCTTTCACAGGCTGGCATTGAGAGTTTGCACTTTCCAGGCACACAGTGGAAGCTGGTCAGTGAATTTACCATTCTGTGGTCTGGCGGATGGTCTCCCTCTTCTCACAGCTCCACTAGGCAGTGCCCCAGTGGGGATTTGGAAAGGGTGTTCCAACCCCACATTTCCCCTCTGCACTGCCCTGGTAGAAATTCTCCATGAGGGCTCTGCTCCTGCAGCAGATTTTGCCTGAATATCCAGGAATTTCAATACATCCTCTGAAATCCAGGTGAAGGTTCCCAAATCTCAACTCTTACCTCCTTCCCACCTGCAGGCCCAACACCACATGGAAGCCACCAAGGCTTGGAGCTTGCACCCTCTGAAGCCACAACGTGAGCTGTACCTTGACCCGTTTTAGCCATGGCTGGAGCTGGAGTGGCTGGGATGCAGGGCACCATATCCCTAGGCTGCACAGAGAAGCTGGGCCATGAATTTGACCCAAGAAACCATTTTTCTCTCTCAGGCCTCTGGGCCTGTGATGGGAGGGGCTGCTGTGAAGGTCTCTGAAATGCTCTGGAGACACTTTCCCCATTGTCTTGGTGATTAACATTTGGCTCCTCTTGACTTATGCAAGTGTCTGCAGCTGGCTTGGGCTTGAATTCCTCCCCAGAAAATGGATTTTTCTTTTCTACCATATGGTCAGGCTGCAATTTTTTCCAACTTTTATGTTCTGCTTCACTTTTAAATATAAGTTCCCATTTCAGACCATCTCTTTCTTTATGCAAATGAGTTAGGCTTTTAGGAAGGGCCAGGCCATATCTTCAACACTTTGCTTCTTAGAAATTTGTTCCTCCAGACGCCCTTGATCATCTCTCTCAAGTTCAAAGTTTCAAAGATTTTTAGAGCAGGGACAAAATTCCTCTAGTCTCTTTGCTAAAATATAGCAAGAATGACCTTTGCTCTAGTTTCCAATAAGTTCCCCATCTCCATCTGAGACCACCTCAGCCTGGGCTTCATTGTCCATATCACTATCAGCATTTTGGTCACAACCATTCAACAAGTCTCTAGGAAGTTCCAACCTTTCCCACATCTTCCTGTCTTCTTCTGAACCCTTCAAACTGTTCCAACTTCTGCCCATTACCCAGTTCCAAAGTTGCTTCCACATTTTCAGGTGTCATTATAGCAGTGCCCCACTCCCAATACCAATTTTCTGTATTAGTTCATTCTTACACTGCTGTAAACACATACCTGAGACTGGATCATTTATAAAGAAAGTAAGTTTAATTGACTCACAGGAAGAGAGAGAGTGTGTTTGGGGGGAAGTGCCACACACTTTGAAACAACCAGATCTCG